>NT_187527.1:0-174166 GCF_000001405.40 Homo sapiens
GAATTCCAAATTGTGGGTAACAAGGCCTCTCTAATTTGGCTAAAATTCCTTGCAGCTGCAAAGGGGGAAGAACGATCAAACATAAAACCACGTGTTTGCTTTCTGTCTTAAAAAAGCAATTGTCCCTTCATTTACTTTTCTTCCACCCCATACCTCCTTCCCCCTTTGCCATCTCCAGTACCAAGGACTCTAGAGAAGGCTTCTAATGACTTGAACCCCTTTAAATAATTCAGAACAAGGGCACCACTCACCGCTTTTGGGGTGTTCTGTCTTCATTGTGGAGTTTCAAGAGTCATGGGCAGGTTCTTCTTAGGTCTAAAGCTCTGTTTTCCTGTATTGCATTACCTGACCTCTTTGGCTTTGGGGGGTACCATAGATGACCTTGCACTGTGAGAGGATTTGACCTCGGCGTGTATAATGGCAGATGAGAGCTACAAAGTTATGGGTGGCTGAATACAGTTTACAGGAAGTGGTCTTGGCTGTATTTTTTTTTTCTTTTCTCTCCTAGGAGGTTGTTGTTTAAGGATCCTAATTCTAGTTTGAAGATGCATTCTAAAGGGTCTTCTTTATTGCTTTTCTCCCAACATTAATCTCAGTTTGGTTTGTCTGTGTGCATTTGTGCGAGGAACTGAACTGAACTGTTGTTTTCATAGGTAAATGAGAGACTGAGTTTTTCAGCTCCAAAGAGAAAAGGTATCTGCTTCTCCCAGCCAAAGGTGCCCCTGGGTGACCAGGGGGCCTCGTGGGAGTGTCTAGGGGGTTGACCCCTGCTGTGACATGCAGCAGCCCTTCAGGGAAATCCCCTCAAAAGTTAATTTAAAAATAGTTCATCCAGGAAACGCATGTAAAGGCTGATCACCCAGCGTTTTGAGCCCTCTCTGAGGTCATAGACCTCTGGAGAGAGAAACTGAGACTCATAAGAGGGCAGAAGTGACTCAGTGGTGACACACTGTGGAGTCCTGCCCACAAGCAGCACACATCAATCCACTACACAAAAACCTAGGCCACAGCTCAGTTCCTCCTTTTAAGAAAAAAAAAAGTGGGAAACAAATAATCCAAGAATGAGGAGAAAACACAGAGAATGATCCCCTTTTGAGCACTCTGTAGGGTTTAAGGCACATCTACTTGCCAGAGTAAAATGGAAGTAAGACAGTCTTTGTGCACATTTACATTAAGGAAAAAAGAGCCCTAACGTCGACCCCAAACCAATAGAGTTCTTACGTCCCCTTTTCCCCATTTTCTTTTCTGCCTGCTTTAAATCTGCTGTTACCTTTCTAGTGAGATAAAAACCACTGTTTCGATCTAGCAGGTCTTTTTTTGCAAGCCAGTGAACTTATATTTATCTCATGGCTAAAGTACTGAAGTAAAAGCTATAGAATCTTTGTGTGTGTGTATGTGTGATGTATATGTCTGTGTGTGTGTATAGTTGAAGGCCCTTATAATAGACTTATATAATTTTATGTTCAATTGGCAATTAAATCTGCTTTAGTTTCCCTCTAGCTCACCAGACTTTCTCTTCGTACCTTACTATGTAAATTTTGCTATTTGATTTTCACCTGAGTTATTTCCTTTAATATGCAAATTTAAGACTATTTAGCTGACAATTGCCTTAGGGTTGTGAAACAGATTATCAAGAATTTGAAAGTCTAAGATAGGGAAAAAAATATGGTCTTTATGGATCTATAACATGTACTTCTGGCTGGGTGTGGTGGCTCACGCCTATAATCCCAGCACTTTGGGAAGCCAAGGAGGGTGGATCACATGAGGTTAGGAGTTCAAGACCAGCCTGGCCAATGTGGTGAAGCCCCGTCCCGGGGCATGGTGGTGGGCGCCTGTAATCTCAGCTACCTGGGAGGCTGAGGCAGGAGAATTGTTGGAACCCGGGAGGCAGAGGTTTCAGTGTGCCGAGATTGTGCCACTGTACTCCAGCCTGGGCTGATAACAGTGAGACTCCATCTCAAAAAAAAAAGAAAGAAAAAATGTACTTCTATCAGCATGCCTAATATGTCTATGTATTTAGATTTCATAGGTAAATGAGAGACTGAGTTATAACATATGTTATGGAAAACTCCTATAATTCTGATATAACTTAGTATGCTTTATCAATAACAATTATAATTGTTATGTTAAGTTATTGTATGCCACAGAGGAAACAAATTTCCTTGTCAATTGTGTCTTTGACTATGGTTGCCCTAAAACTTTTTGTCATCCACGGACATTTGTTGTCTTGTTTTGGTCCTCCTTAGAAAGTGGTTTTGTAATCAGCTATAGAACTCTAACAGGTGTTCTTACATATAGGATTCTGATAACTTTGGGGATTGTGGCATTAGAATAGAGAAAGAAACTTTCCAGACTCTCATGGAGAGCAGAAATGTTCATGAATATCAAGCAGAACAGGAGTTAACTGTGTAAACTGAACTGATAGAAGACTAAAGAATCTTTTTGACCTTTGCTTTAAATGTTGCTGATTCTTTCTTTTGTATTTTTCAGAGCTGAGAAAACTTTTCTTTTGAGCTATTGACAGCTTTTTACAATTCAGTATACTCCTATGAACAAAATTTGGGGTATATTTGTTTCTCTTAAGGACTAAGCTCTGATTTTGTATCTTGCCCAAATTCCTATCTAAGAGGTCTGGGGAGTCGTGTCCTACAAACCATAAATTCTCATCAGATGGCTTTTATTTGACCCTGTATATCATGATTTACTTTCCAATCTGAGTCTGGCATAACAAGGAAGAAAATAACAATGTTTTACCCCAAAATATATTTCCTTGTCATACCTTGAAATTGCCCTACAACGTCTCTTGTGGGAAAAATCCACATTCTATAGAGAATCACCTTTCTCCTTTGTTTTCCTTTCTTCTCAGATCCAGGAGATAATCAATTAAGAGCCAGGCACCCTTTTAGGTCTGATGAGAAACATTTTACAACCTGCTCTCTCTTTGAAGTCTGCTATCTGAGAGCTCCCTCTCTGCACAATAAAACTTGGTCTCCACAATCCTTTACCTTAACCTGAGCATTCCTTACTATTGATCCCAGGTCTTCAGATAAACTCAACCAATTGTCATCCAGAAAATGTTTAAATTTCCCTGTAGTCTGGAAGCCCCTGCTTTGATTTGTCCCACCTTTCTCAATCAAAACAATGTATTTCTTAAATGTATTTGATTGATGTCTCATGTCTCCCTAAAAATGTTTTAAACCAAGCTGTACCCCTACCAACTTGGGCACATGTTCTGAGGACCTCCTGAGGGCTGTGTCATGGGCCATGGTCACTCATTTTGGCTCAGAATAGATCTCTGCAATTATTTTACAATTTGACTCTTTTTGTCGACACTCTCTACCTGGTTTCCCCAGAATTTGGAAACTATTTGTGAGTATTTTTAATTTATGGGAGTACAGTTATTTGTATAAGTGCAATAAGAATTTGTTTTCATTTTGCAGCAGGACACAATTGGAGAAACTGGTTACTCCAATGTACTAAGGCTTTGACTGGAATGGTGAGCTTTCATTTAAGGAATCAAACTTGACTTATGGAGCCAATGAAAGCCCCTTGGAAAAACTGGCCTCATACCTTTGTCTACAGAGTCCCTGTACAGGGTTCCTGACCTGTGGCAAGAAAAGAATATCACTTTCTGACAGGTCCAGGAGCCCCAGGTTTATCCTGGAACCTCAAGCGATGAGGATGACTCAACTCATAGGTATTTGATGGCACAAATTCGTGGCTGGGCTCGGCTTTAAAAAAGTCTTATCTGAGATTCCTCCTATGGAGCAATGTTCCATCAAAGCCAATTTAAAAGCCTATGTAAAAAGTAATTATTCTTGCTGCACTGTATACAAATAATTAGGCCAAGTATAATAAAGCAAACCAGTCTTACCATGATTTGTCTTTAGTGAAAATGGGAAACTGGAGAGAGAAAAATTATGTTTCAATACTATGGTACACCTATTTTTAGATTCCAGTCTTGCCTAATGTTTTCAAGTTTTATTATTTTCTACAGTTTGGACCAAATTCTGATTTTCCTTGGCTACAAGTCTTCAAAATAATGTTTGCAATTTTTTTCATTTGTTTGCCCCACCCCCCATTTTTCTGTTTTCTTTTCTTTTCTTTCTTTCTTTTTTTTTTTTTTCTGAGATGGAGTTTTGCTCTTGTCGCCCAGGCTGGAGTGCAGTGGCATGATCTCGGCTCACTGCAACCTCTGCCTCCTGGGTTCAAGCAATTCTCCTCCCTCAGCCTCCCTAGTAGCTGGGATTACAGGCACCTGCTACCCTGCCCAGCTAATTTTTGTATTGTTATTATTATTATTATTTAGTAAAGATGGGGTTTCACTATGTTGGTCAGGCTGGTCTCAAACTCCTGAACTCAGGTGATCCACCTGCCTCAGCCTCCCAAAGTGCTGGGATTACAGACATGAACCACTGCACCCACCCGCCCCCCTTATTTTTCCTAATTTGGAGTCACTAAAATCTAAGCTGTGCTTTCTTAAAGCCCTGCAAACTGAAGCCAGACAACTTAAACTTCAGAAGAAAATAACAGCAACCTATTTTCATACATAAGCCACTTTCATGGCCTACCAATGTATGGACTTTAAAGTTATGTGGCCTATATCGATTTTTGCAGGATTATTCTTTGGTTTGTTGTTGTTTTCTTTCTTCCTCCCCCTATTTTCTCTTCTAGGACATGAGACTTCACAACCTGCTAAAAATGAGCTTTCCTAATAACTTAGGACCTGCCCATCTAGGAATAAACCATCCTAGCCATGAGAGATCAGATGAAACCTGGGACCAGAGACTCATTTTCTTCTAAAATCTTGGAGAGCTTTCTCCAAGATTTTAAAGAGAAAACGGGGGGAAATGTGAAAGGAAAAGATCTTGAGCCCCCAGATCACTATAAGCTAAAGGGAGGAGTCTAGCTGGGAACTGCTCAGGGCAAACCTGCCCCCCATTGTATTCAAAGTCTCCCCTCTGCTCACTGAGATAAATGTGTATCTGACTGCCTCCTTTGGAGAGGCTCATCAGAAACTCAAAAGAATGCAACCATTTGTCTCTTACCTGCCTGTGACCTGGAAGTCCCCTCCCCACTTGGAGTCTTCCTGCCTTTGCTTCGAGCCATCCTGCCTCTCCAGACCGAACCAATGTTCGTCCTGCATATGCGGACTGATGTCTCATGTCTCCCTACAATGTATAAAGCCAGACTGTGCCCTGACCACCTTGGGCACACGTCATCAGGACCTCCTGAGGCTGGGTCATGGGTGCGCGTCCTCACCCTTGGCAAAGTAAGCTTTCTAAATTAACTGAAACCTATGAACCTCCCAAATCTGAGACAGGTCTCAGTTAATTTAGAAAGTTTATTTTGCCATAAAGTTCATCCATGTCCAGCGAGCTGGTCAGAAGGAACCGCAGGGGGATGTGTGTGTCCGTGTGTGTGTATGTGTATGTATCTGTATGTATGTGTGTGTATTGTGTGTGTATGTATGTATTGTGTATGCATGTGTGTGTATATGTATGTATACATGTACGTGTGTATATTGTGTACGTGTATGTATGTACTGTGTATGCGTGTGTATGTGTATGCATGTGTATTATATGTACATATTGTGTATGTGTGTGTATATGTATGTGTGTATTGTGTTTATATGTATGTGTGTATATGTATGTATGTGTATATGTGTGCGTATATGTGTATGTATGTATATGTGTATATGTGTGTGTATTGTGTGTGTACATATTGTGTTTGTGTGTACATATTGTGTATGCATATGTGTGTGTATGCACATATTGTGTATGTGTGTGTATATGTGTATGTACGTATTGTGTATGCATGTGTGTATGTGTGTATATGTATGTGTGTGTGTATTGTGTATGTGTAGTGTGTATTATTTGTGTGTGTGTGTATTGTGTGTGTATGTTTGTGTGTGTGTTTAATCCTGGAGTGTAAAAAACCATCGCCATAAGAATTTGCATGAGTCTTCCTCATAGTCAACAAGGTTTCTAAAACCAGAAGTTCCCTGAGCTGGAGATGGGATGTCTTAAGTCGGTTTTGTTGTTGTTGTTTGTTTATTTTTTGAGACAGAGACTGGCTCTGTGACCCGGGCTAGAGTGTGGTGGTGAGATCAAGGCTCACTGCAGCCTCGACCTCCCTGGCTCAGGTGATCCTCCTGCATCAGCCTCTTAAGTAGCTGGGACCACAGTCCGGAGCCATCACACCTGGCTAATTTTTGTATTTTTCGTAGAGATGGGGGTCTCACTATACCACCTAGGCTGGTCTTGAACTCCTTGACTCAATTGATCTTCTCACCTCAGCCTCCCGAAGTGCTGGGATCACAGGTGTGAGCCACCACACCTGGCCAAGACTTTTATTACCCCTCATTTTAGATATTTTGTGGGTTCTTACTGAGAAGTTGCAGAATTCTCCCCGAATGCCCTGGGAACTGCTGTCCTGCAGGCGCTCACAGCTCACCGGGTTGTGCTTGCAGGGCCGAGGCCTGGTGCCTCAAGCTGTCCCCTCTGTCCCCACTGGAACTGGGCCAGTGCCTCCCAGGCCTCTCTTCTCTTTCTTTTGGGGAGCCTCAGCGACTTGCTGGGGCCATTTGTCTGGGGCTGGTGCACTGTGGCCCCTGATGGCCCTGCCTGATCAGGAACCATCAGCCCCACCAACCTGCCCAGAGCTGGAAAGCCAGACCTTCTGGGCGCTCCCAGTGAGGCAGCAGGTCAGTGGCCTCCAAGTCCCGAGGCTCCAACAGCAGGAAGTTTGAGGCTCTTTGGGAACGACTGAGCTACTCTGGCAACCCCCAGAGCAAAGGCAGCAGGGCCTGGCCGCAGTCCCCACGGTTGTGAGTCCCATAAGGCAGCTTTAGCTTGAGGGGAGGGTCTTTGGGGACTTCAGGGAGCTCCTAAAAGCTAAGGGCACTTGAAAGCAATGTCAAATGGTTTATAATTTTTGGCAATATTTCATTTTCCCTCCACAATCGTCAGCTTTCAAGGTTTTTAGCAGCTGAACTCTTGAACATTTTTAATTGATTTTTTATTTTTTTAACAGCCTTATTGAGATGCAATTCACACACTAAAGAATTTACCCAATTAGAGTGCACAATTCGCTGGTTTCTAGTAAATTCCCAGTAGTGCAGCCACAGGCTCTCCTTAAAGAATGTGTAACAATGTGTAACTCCTGCGTGTAAGGACAGAAACACCATCTCTCTGCTTGGTGGAACACATCACCCATTTACTGCCCCACGGTGCTCTGGGTCGGTCACGGGCACCTGTGGCTGGGCTCACCTCCTGGGTCCCCAGGTCACCCCCTTCCCGGTTGCTCCAACACTGACCACCCTACCTGACCCCTGCAGGTGTGGGACCAGCAGGTCTTTTGGCAAAAGGGAAGAGCCCGCCTTGAGAAGGCTGTAGCATTTCTCTGGAAACGTCATTGTTTTAATTGGGCAGTTGCAAAGAACAGAGACAGATTCATGCTGCCGCAAGGCCAAGGGGGGTATTGTAAGTGTGAAAGCAGCATCTCAAACAGATGGCCAGTGCGTCCCATAAAAGTGCAGAGGGGCTATAAAAGTGCAGAGTGAGGGGCCATAAAGGTGCAGGGTGTTTGAGGAAGGAGTTGACTATGGCGGAACGAAGTGATGGCCAAGGGTGGTGGCTGAGAAACCCTGCTGGTGAAGTCCTGCGTGGGCCTTATCAGTGAGTTAATCTCTAACTGTGCGGAGCCGTAAAACTGCCCTTCCCACCTCGTGCAGCCACTCTCCCGGGGAGGGTCTTGGGAAGTCCGCAGAAGTGGCCCAATGGCAGAGCAGGAGCTCCGCTCTCAGTGTGGGGCCTCGTTTGGGTTTGGGAAAACATGTCCTCTCTCACGAAGACGTGGGTGTCTCCAGCGGGACCCTGATCCCGCGTGGGGCGCATGGCCCTCTCTGCTCTGCGGCCCCTCTCGCTCTCCTCTCTGTGCCTGGGAATTCTAGTGTTTACTGGGCCTTGGCCGCTGGGAGCCTCTTCAAGGTGGTTCCATTTTGACGTAAGGACTGGAGGGGTGCATTGAAGAATTGTAGAGTGCAGGTGAAGGGAGGGCCTGGAAGCTCCTGTCCCGTCTCCTAGAAGCGTGGCTGTGGTGGCACTGGCATTGGAGTCTGAGGTGCCGCGTGTGCCGTGAGGATGAAGTGTGAGAAATTTTGGGAGGTCCTAGTTCTACCATCCCCAGTGTCTTCGAGACCCACACCCTTGGTGTGGAAGAAAGGAGACAAGATGTCATACGAAGAGGTTCTGTTGAAAGACGCAGTCTTGGAGCTGGGGGTTCCGGTGTGGACTCATGAGGGGTTCCGTCTCTGTATGTGTAGCTCTGAGCTCTGACTACGGAGAAGGCCCAGACATATGACCTTCTCAGGGCAGTGAGCACCCCAGCACCCCGAGTGTGGTCCCTAAAGACCACTTCCTACCAGCGGGACCCAGAGCTCCTTGGAGACATGGTTGACTCCAGACCTGGGCCAGGAGACGTACAAAGCAGGCTCGGAGCACCCTGGTCAGCAGGGAAGCCATCGAGGACCAGGGCAGGAGCCCTCCCTGGGCCGGCCACGGAGCTGATGGTCGTCACGTATCAGGGCTCTGCTCAGTCATGGGAACTGAGTCGTCACCCCATTTCTGTGGTGAGCGGCTTCTGCAGAAGACAGATTTGTTTCATCTGAAGTTATTTATTCTGCTGTCATAGGTGAAGCCTGCTACACCCATGTCCCCACATCCCACTGTTCTCTCCCTGATGGCCGGGGGGAGCAGGGCCGGCTCTGGTCTTGTCTGAAAGGGAGGCACAGAGCAGGGCCATCGGCTGGGGTCGGGGGAGACAGAGTGGTCCTGACCAGTAGCTGAGCGCCCGGGGTAGATGGTTACTGGGTGGTTCCCGTGGGGGGCTGGGCTGTTGGCAGCCCTGAGCTGGCCCCACGTGGGGTCAGCTAGTGGCTGGGTGGGGCAGGCACTTTGACCAGAGCCAGCTCACTGCTGTGGCCACAGCCCCAGGGGTGCCTTGAGGTCCCATGCAGGGTGAGGGGACTGCGGGGGGCTTGAGGCCCTGAGGGCTGCCCCGTTTGCTGTTAGCATGCACCTGGCCGCCCTGGCGCAGCCATCCTTGAAACACTCTGACAGCAATGTTTTAAGAATGTAGAGATGGGGTCTCACTGTATTGCCCAGGCTGGCCTCAAACTCCTAGGCTCAAGCAATTCTCCCACTTCCGCCTCCCAAAATGTTAGGGTCACAGGCGTGAGCTGCCGCGCCTGGCCTGAAACATTACGTGTTTGCCAGATTTGTCTTTCTTTTCTTCATACCCTCTTGGTTTTGTGTCTTGCTTAGACGGCAGCCTCATTCTCCTTTATCCTCTGACTTCAGTGGTTTTATTTTTTTACATTAAATCTTTGACCCCATGTGGAACTGATTCTGATCCATGGAGCAGATCTGGGAGAGCCGATGTTCGTTATCGTGACTGTTTAGAATTTTTCTGGCCATCACTATATGTTTTTTGTCCATTTGAACTTTAGAAGTGACTTCTTAGTTAAAAATTCTCTTCTTCGGGATTATGCTAAAATTCAAGATTGTTTTATGCAAAAATCATCTCCTTTCTCCAAAAGGAGAGGAGTGCCGGGCCAGCGTGTGGGAGTGAGGACCTGCTGCTCAGGAACTCTTCCTGGGCAGGGGCCAGTGGGGCCGGGCAGAGCCAGCCCAGCCCTCCCCGCTGCTCCCATGGCAGAGCCAGCCCAGCCCTCCCCGCTGCTCCCATGGCAGCGCAGGAATGGTCGTGTGACCACTGAGCAGCGGGGCTGATCCTAACCCAGTTCCACGTCCCGGGAGGGTGAAGAGTGACGTTGCACTGGGCCTGGGTCCTGCCTCCCTGCTGTTCTAGCACCCCCAGCCCCCTGGCCCGCTTTGCCTTGGTTACAATTCCTCCTTCCCCACTGGCTTGTTGTGCTCCTATGTACCCTGTAAAGCCCCATGCAAAGGCCCCAGTCCAAGCAGGAAGCTCACCCCTTGTGTCCTCTCCAGATGCTGAGCTTGCCGAGTGCAGGTGTGGTGTCTGGTTCCCTCGTAGCCTGTGCCTGACCTGCACTGAGACGCTACGGCCCACGTGGCAACCCCCCATCACTGAGGGGACACAGCCCACGTGGTAGCCCCACCCCATCACTGAGGGGCCCCTTGGCTGCTCTGTACTGATGGGGGGCTTTGCCCAGAGGATGGGGGACCCTGGCTCCCCGCCCGACTCCACGGTCAGGCCTTACCCAGATCTGCTCTTCCCTGATCTGGCTGCACCTGCTATGCTAGGCTCCTGGGACCCAGGCCAGGCCTCCTCAGGCCTCCTCATGTGGGCCCCGCCTCTCTGTTTGGAGACATCATGCTTCCTCCAGGCTCAGTCACCCCGGGCTGTCACAACAGACACCACAGACAGGCTGGCCCCAGCAGCAGACATGTGCTTCTCACCGTTCTGGAGGCCGGAAGGCATGCGATCTCGAGCCAGCATGGCGGGTTCCTGGGGAGGGCCCTCCTCCTGGCCTGCAGATGCCACTTTCTCTCTGTGCCCCTATATGGGGAGCGAGGGTGGGGAGTGGAAGCTGCACTCTGGTCTCTTCCTTGTCTTAGAAGGACACGAATCCCATTACAGGGACTCCACCCGCCCTCAAACCTCATCCAACCCTAACACCTCCCAGAGGCCCCACCTCCAGGCACCATCACGCTGTGTGTTAGGGGTTTGGCCTGTGGATTTTGGGGGCGCACAGTCCATTGCACCAAACTCTCAGCCTCTCCAGATCCCCTGGGGGCCTGGGGGTCTCCGTCCCATACAGTCTCCCAGGGGGCCCTGCGTGGGTAGAGGTCCCCTGACCTGTTCCCACCTCTGGTCCCAGGAGCGCGGCCCTGTCAGCTCCCGAACCCCAGGGAAAGGGATGGCTCATCCACTAGGCTCTTTCCGGCCCTAAGCCATTCAGGGGTGGTCGGGATGGGGTCAGATTCAGGCCTGTCCTGGGTTGAGACTCCCTAGCCCATGGGCCGGCACCCAGTGGGTTTGAGGACAAGACGTTACAGAGGTGAGGGGAGGCCCAGACCTGTGTGGCCCAAGGCCTGGACTTGGCTGCAGGATGGGAGGTGGGGGTGGGGCTGGCACGACCCGGACTGGGCACTCATGGCCTGCCCTTTCCACAGATACTTCCGGGTCATCCTCCTCCTCCTCCTGGCCCTGACTCTGCTCCTGCTGGCCGGATTCCTGCACTCGGACTTAGAGCTGGACACACCGTAAGTCCTGCCCCCACCATAAGTCCTGCCCCGGGTACCTCCTAACAGCCCCGAGGACAGAGCCTGGGACCCCAGCATGATCACGCCCCCCACTGGGCCTGTCTCCCTCTGGAAGAGGAGGGGTGGATGGGCCCTTCCTTGGGGGGACCCTGAGAGTCTCCTGTTAGCCACAAACCCACCTGGGCCTTTGGGGAGGGCTCTGGGGAGCAGGGGCCGGGTCTGGGTTTGGGGACAGACCCAGTGTGTGCAGAGGGTCCCTGTGTGTGGGAGGCAGGGCTGGAGGCCTCCTTCTTGCTCCCCACAACAGAGGTGGCCTGTGGGCCTGGGCTGGATCTGGGAAGGAAAAGGTCAGAACCGTGCTCAGGACAGACCTTGCAGCCATGGGCCCACCTGGGACCCTCTCCCCTGCCTGCCTGTGGCACATCCTCTGTGGAGCCCCTGCTGCATGGAGGTGCCCACCTGTGCTCACCTCGCAGCCCAGCTGTGCCTCCAGACAGGGCTTTAGCCAGGCTGCTGGAAGGGTCTTCCAGGCCCCGCCACTCCCCAGCCCCTCTGGTTGGAGGAGACAGAGGAAGCACCAATCCCTCTGGGCCGAGCTGCCAGAGACAGGTGCCAAGGACCCTGTCTTTGCTCACCCCCATCACCCAGGCTGGCCAGGCCTGGGTACCCTGACCCCACCATCCTGGTCACTTCTGCTGGCCCTGTTCTGGGGCAGGGAGGGCGCCTGCTACT
The DNA here is from genome assembly GCF_000001405.40 of Homo sapiens. Classification (NCBI taxonomy): domain Eukaryota; kingdom Metazoa; phylum Chordata; class Mammalia; order Primates; family Hominidae; genus Homo; species Homo sapiens. The sequence continues at coordinate 11,985 of NT_187527.1, forward strand.
CCAGCCCCACTGGGTGGGTGTCATGATGGGATTCTAGGAGTGGGCCCAGCCCTACATCTGGCCGCTGGTCTCGGCTTTGGGGTCCTTCCTTTTCCTGGTGTGAAGGGACAAGAAGCACTGCACGTGTGGCTGAGGTCACAAAGCCAGCTGCATGTGCGTGCCTGGGCACCAGGGAGAAGGCTGGGGTGATGTGTGGGCCAGAGTGTGTAGCCCCCGAGGGAAACAGGGATGGGTCTGAGGACACTGTCTCCGTGGGGCCCTGAGGCTGGGGCTGAGGGTCTCTAGGTTGGGGTGCAGTGATGGGTCTGGTGGGGGTTCCAGGGTTGGGGGTGTCAACTGAAGAATCATGACATCTATGAATGTGGAGAGGACACTTTGTTTCTTAAAAAGTGTGGACATCCCACAGGCTGGGAGCACAGCCGCCGACCCAGGCTGGGAGCACAGCCGCCGACCCAGGCTGGGAGCGGGCACTTCGAGGGAGGGGGTGGGACAGGGGCTTACGCTGAACGGCTTGGCCAAGTACACGTTCAGCAGGTGACGGGAGGAGCTGTGGATATTCATGAAGGGGGTCCTGACGCACGTGTCCTGAACAAACAGGTGTGTTACTTACTTGTGACCCACGTTCACCTTGGGGTGGAGACTGCACATCTAACTGCGTTACAATCAGGCCCTGCACGTCAGAAGGTGGAGCCGGGACGGGAAGCACTCGGTGCGCAGCCTCTGTAAACCGCCAGAACCAGTCCGGGGCTGGGGGTCCCTGCTCAGGGGACAGTTACTGAAATGCGGCTCTTGTCCGATGGCAGCTGTGGTTCTGGCTGGGGGAGCAGGGGTCAGCGAGGCAGCGTCTGGCAGCGGGTGAGCTGCACCTGCTTTAACGTTGTTCGTCTCAAGGCCAGCGTTTGGGTGTCAGAGAAAAAGAAAACTCCCGTGGCAGGTAGAACATAAATAAGTGCAGCGTGTGTGACTTCGCCCCTGCCCGGCATGGCCTCAGGTCCCGTTGATAATGTAGCGTCTTATGGCCACAGTCAGTTCTGCTGGGCCATGGTCTCCTTTTATTTTTTAATTTTTAAAAAATTTACTTTAAGTTCTGGGACACACGTGCAGAACGTGCAGGTTTGTTACACAGGTATACACGTGCCACGGTAGTTTACTGCACCTATTAGCCCGTCATCTAGGTTTCAAGCCCCGCATGCATTAGGTATTTGTCCTAATGCTTTCCTTCCCCTTACACCCCATCCCCGACAGGCCCTGGGATGCGCTGTTCCCCTCTCTGTGTCCACGTGTTCTCATTGTTCAAGTCCCACTTATGAGTGAGAACATGCGGTGTTTGGTTTTCTGTTCCTTTGTTAGTCTGCTGAGGATGATGGTTTCCAGCTTCATCCATGTCCCTGCAAAGGACATGAACTCATTCTTTTTTATGGCTGCACAGTATTCCGTGGTGTAGATGTGCCACATTTTCTTTACGGTCTCTATGTAACATTCACACCCGGCAGCTGCTGGGTCTAAACCGCAAAGGGGAGGGGGTGTGACGAGGCGTCTACCTCCCATCCCATCACTGCTGGGAACTCAGTTTTAAGGTGGGTCTGGGGTCCCCTTGGCCAAGATGGGGTTCATTTAGGGTTTTATTTTTAGTTCTCGGGGGCACAGGGTTGGGGGAGCATGGTTACGGGAGACAGTTGGGGGAGTTTGTGTTCGGGCCACCAGCTGGGAGGTTGTGGAGTGGGGCAAGGATTGGGGCCATGGGTCGGTGCCTACCCAGTTGGCCCCCTGGCCTAGAGTTGGGGGGCTCAGGTTGGGAGGTCTCTCCTTGCGGTTGCCGGGCTGGGGGTCGCTGTTGGGCGGGGGTTGGGGCATCTGCACCCTTGCTGAAGGCTGCGTGTGCCTTCCCTCCCAGCCTGTTTGGGGGCCAGGCTGAGGGGCCGCCGGTCACCAACATCATGTTCCTGAAGACGCACAAGACGGCCAGCAGCACGGTGCTCAACATCCTCTACCGCTTCGCCGAGACCCACAACCTGTCCGTGGCGCTGCCCGCCGGCTCACGCGTCCACCTGGGCTACCCCTGGCTCTTCCTGGCGCGCTACGTGGAAGGCGTGGGGTCGCAGCAGCGCTTCAACATCATGTGCAACCACCTGAGGTTCAACCTGCCTCAGGTACCGCGGGCCTGCTGGGGAGGAGGGCGGGCTGCAGCCGTGCCTGTGGCTGTGGGTCTGGGTGGTGTAGCCTGGAGGCTGGAGAGAAGGAGTGTAAGGCTTGGGGGCGGGGCGTGCAGAAGGCGGGTTGGGAGGGCCTGGGCCGCACGCCCTGCTGAGCCAACCCCTGCCCCTCCAGGCGGCCAGTCGCCTGCCGTTGCTCTTGGAATGAGACCTGGGAGCCCCACAGCCCCTGCCCAAGGGCGTCCCCAGCGCTCCCCCGCTTCTCTGGCCTCCTAGTTGTGCACAGGCCCGGCTCTCCCCACCCTGTGACCTTCGCTTCTGTGGCTGCAGGCCCTTCTTTGGGTCCCTTGGGTCTCAGCATAGAGCCGGCTTCCCCCCAGGGCTTCCCTGACCTTCCTTACAAAGGAAGCAGGGCAGGGAGTGTGGGTGGGAGGGCTGTGGGCAGGCACAGGTGTTTTAGGGTCACCCTGAGCGCTCTGTGGAGAATGGCCAGCAGAGGCTAGGTGACCAGGCGGGGCCAGAGGGAGGCCGGGTGGGGAGAGGTGATGGGCAGAGAGCGGGGCAGCGGGGGTGTGCTGTGGGGTGGGGGCTGCGGGGCAGAGGGAGGAGGAGGGGCCGGGAGGAGGGGAAAGGAAGAGGGTGGGGGCAGGGAGGAGGCCTCCCACTGTTCTCTCCCTGGGTTTCTGAGGATGGAGAAGCAGGCGGTGTAGTTGGGCGTGACTTTCTGCAAGACTTTACTTTCTGTGGGTGGGGTATATCCTCCAGGACCTCTGAGGGGGCACAAGCGAGGGTGAGTCCAGACCCACCCTGTGGGGAACCTGGGTCACGGACCTTCTCTGGGCCTCAGTTTCTTTGTCTGTTAGGTGGGTGTCACCCTGGCCTGTGGGCAGCTGGTGGAGTGCTGAAGCCCCCTGTGCCAGGGGCCCGTGGAGGGCCCTTCGTGCTGTCTGTGCGCCACAGCATCCCACTCCTAGAGGCCTCTGGGTCTCCTCGAGATGCCAGTGGGAGCTCCTCCTCCCTCCTCCTGCTCTGCCCACGGACTCCTCCTCCTGAGGCCCCTTCCTGGCGTCCTTGGCCTCTGTTCTGGGCACCCGGGAACCAGTGACTGGGCTGCAGGGCCTGCGTGTGGCCCTGGCTCTGCTCCCGGAGCTGCCGCACGAGAAGGCGCCAGGCCCAGGTTCCTCGGCAGATGTGAGGATGGGGGTGCTCCTTGAGCGGGTGTGGCCAGGGCGCGCCTCCTCCCCGCGGGTGGGCCACCCTGGCCTGGGCCCGCGGTCCGCAGCCCGCCTCTCTGTCGCCACACAGGTGCAGAAAGTCATGCCCAACGACACCTTCTACTTCTCCATCCTGAGGAACCCCGTGTTCCAGCTGGAGTCCTCCTTCATCTACTACAAAACCTACGCCCCCGCCTTCCGGGGCGCCCCGAGCCTGGACGCGTTCCTGGCCTCGCCGCGGACGTTCTACAACGACAGCCGCCACCTCAGGAACGTCTACGCCAAGAACAACATGTGGTTCGACTTCGGCTTCGACCCCAACGCGCAGTGCGAGGAGGGCTACGTGCGCGCGCGCATCGCCGAGGTGGAGCGGCGCTTCCGGCTGGTGCTCATCGCCGAGCACCTGGACGAGTCCCTGGTGCTGCTGCGGCGCCGGCTGCGCTGGGCGCTGGACGACGTGGTGGCCTTCAGGCTCAACTCCCGCAGCGCGCGCTCCGTGGCCCGCCTGTCGCCCGAGACCCGGGAGCGCGCGCGGAGCTGGTGCGCGCTGGACTGGCGCCTGTACGAGCATTTCAACCGCACCCTCTGGGCGCAGCTGCGCGCCGAGCTGGGGCCGCGGCGGCTGCGCGGGGAGGTGGAGCGGCTGCGCGCCCGGAGGCGCGAACTCGCGAGCCTGTGCCTGCAGGACGGCGGCGCGCTCAAGAACCACACGCAGATCAGAGACCCGCGCCTGCGCCCCTACCAGTCCGGCAAGGCCGACATCCTGGGTTACAACCTCCGGCCGGGCCTGGACAACCAGACGCTGGGCGTGTGCCAGAGGCTTGTGATGCCTGAGCTCCAGTACATGGCCCGCCTGTACGCCCTGCAGTTCCCGGAGAAGCCCCTCAAGAACATCCCGTTCCTGGGGGCGTAGAGGGGCCGGGCCGGGGACGAGGCCTCCTGCGGACACCAGCTCCTCTCTCCGCCGTCACCGGGGAGGCCGGGGATCCTTGCAGGGCTTCTGGGGCGTTGGGAAACCCAGGCCCGCCGGCCACGGCTCTAAAATGAAGAGGGCGGAGACCCCAGTGAAGAGCACCCCCCGCAATCCGCGCAGATCCCTCCCAGAGAAGGCCCTGAGCCCAGGCGGCAGCCACCCGCCCCCCTTCCGAGGCTGTGTCTCTGTTTAGAACTGAACACGAGGGTGGGGAGTGGGGGATGCTGGACCACAGGGCAGCACCTGCCCGGCAGGATGCGCGTGCCTGTGAGCCCCGGGACTCCCCAGGGTCCTGGGCACTGGGGCTGTGGATCCTCGGAGGAACTCAGAGTGGTTCCCCTGAATTTCCCGGCCCTGGCGACGAGGTGCTGGTCCCAGAGACAGGTGCAGGCACAGGCAGTGCCACAAAGACCGGCCCGGGAGCGGGGCAGGGGCCAGGGCTCAGCCGCTCCCGAACAGCTCCACAGCTTTCGCTGCAGGAGGTTTGGTTCTGATGGAAGGATGTTTTCTACAGAGAGATGGCACAACTGCTCACAAGACCAGGGTTCTAGCCGGAGCCCAGGTCGAGCTCAGCTCCACGACCCCTGCTGGTCAGCCCCTGATGCCTCGTGAAGGAGAGGAGTCTCACTTGCCAAAGGAGGCTGGAGTGGTTGGGGGTACACACACCCTTGGTTGCCTTGGAGACCGTGTTGGGTGTGGTGCCAGAGGGCAGCTGTGGGTACCCCTCTTTGTCATTCACAGGGAGGGACAGAGCCTCCCTGCCTGGCAGGACGTGATCCCTGGCTGCCAGGGGCTCAGCGGGTAAAGGGGGTGCACTCGCCGGGACCAGCCGATGCCTGGGGCACCCAGGAAACGCAGCTACTCTGCAGCATGCTCAGCCTGGAGGAGTTGCAGGAAGAGTGAATTTTCAGTGAGAGTCGGCCGTGAAGAATGGCAGGAGCTCTGCTGAGTCAGAGTCAGCCAGGGACGTCTGCAGGCCACCTTCCCTCCCCCTCAACCCAGGGACCTCCGCAGGCCACCCTCCCTCCCCCCTCAGCCCAGGGACCTCCGCAGGCCACCTTCCCTCCCCCCTCAGCCCAGGGACCTCCGCAGGCCACCTTCCCTCCCCCCTCAGCCCAGGAACCTCCGCAGGCCACCTTCCCTCCCCCCTCAGCCCAGGGACCTCCGCAGGCCACCTTCCCTCCCCCCTCAGCCCAGGGACCTCCGCAGGCCACCCTCCCTCCCCCCTCAGCCCAGGGACCTCCGCAGGCCACCCTCCCTCCCCCCTCAGCCCAGGGACCTCCGCAGGCCACCCTCCCTCCCCCCTCAGCCCAGGGACCTCCGCAGGCCACCCTCCCCCCTCAGCCCAGGAACCTCCGCAGGCCACCCTCCCTCCCCCCTCAGCCCAGGAACCTCCGCAGGCCACCCTCCCTCCCCCCTCAGCCCAGGGACCTCCGCAGGCCACCCTCCCCCCTCAGCCCAGGAACCTCCGCAGGCCACCCTCCCTCCCCCCTCAGCCCAGGAACCTCCGCAGGCCACCTTCCCTCCCCCCTCAGCCCAGGGACCTCCGCAGGCCACCCTCCCCCCTCAGCCCAGGAACCTCCGCAGGCCACCCTCCCTCCCCCCTCAGCCCAGGAACCTCCGCAGGCCACCCTCCCTCCCCCCTCAGCCCAGGAACCTCCGCAGGCCACCCTCCCTCCCCCCTCAGCCCAGGAACCTCCGCAGACCACCTTCCCTCCCCCCTCAGCCCAGGGACCTCCTCCCTCCCCCCTCAGCCCAAGGGACCTAGGCAGGCCACCCTCCCCCCTCAGCCCAGGAACCTCCGCAGGCCACCTTCCCTCCCCCCTCAGCCCAGGGACCTCCGCAGGCCACCTTCCCTCCCCCCTCAGCCCAGGGACCTCCGCAGGCCACCCTCCCTCCCCCCTCAGCCCAGGGACCTCCGCAGGCCACCCTCCCCCCTCAGCCCAGGGACCTCCGCAGGCCACCCTCCCCCCTCAGCCCAGGAACCTCCGCAGGCCACCCTCCCCCCTCAGCCCAGGAACCTCCGCAGGCCACCTTCCCTCCCCCCTCAGCCCAGGGACCTCCGCAGGCCACCTTCCCTCCCCCCTCAGCCCAGGGAACCTCCGCAGGCCACCTTCCCTCCCCCCTCAGCCCAGGGACCTCCGCAGGCCACCCTCCCTCCCCCCTCAGCCCAGGGACCTCTGCAGGCCACCCTCCCTCCCCCTCAGCCCAGGGACCTCCGCAGGCCACCCTCCCTCCCCCCTCAGCCCAGGGACCTCTGCAGGCCACCCTCCCTCCCCCCTCAGCCCAGGGACCTCCGCAGGCCACCCTCCCCCCTCAGCCCAGGAACCTCCGCAGGCCACCTTCCCTCCCCCCTCAGCCCAGGGACCTCCGCAGGCCACCTTCCCTCCCCCCTCAGCCCAGGGACCTCCGCAGGCCACCCTCCCCCCTCAGCCCAGGAACCTCCGCAGGCCACCCTCCCTCCCCCCTCAGCCCAGGAACCTCCGCAGGCCACCTTCCCTCCCCCCTCAGCCCAGGGACCTCCGCAGGCCACCCTCCCCCCTCAGCCCAGGAACCTCCGCAGGCCACCCTCCCTCCCCCCTCAGCCCAGGGACCTCCGCAGGCCACCTTCCCTCCCCCCTCAGCCCAGGGACCTCCGCAGGCCACCTTCCCTCCCCCCTCAGCCCAGGGACCTCCGCAGGCCACCTTCCCTCCCCCCTCAGCCCAGGAACCTCCGCAGGCCACCTTCCCTCCCCCCTCAGCCCAGGGACCTCCGCAGGCCACCCTCCCCCCTCAGCCCAGGAACCTCCGCAGGCCACCCTCCCCCCTCAGCCCAGGAACCTCCGCAGGCCACCCTCCCTCCCCCCTCAGCCCAGGAACCTCCGCAGGCCACCCTCCCTCCCCCCTCAGCCCAGGAACCTCCGCAGGCCACCTTCCCTCCCCCCTCAGCCCAGGGACCTCCGCAGGCCACCTTCCCTCCCCCCTCAGCCCAGGAACCTCCGCAGGCCACCCTCCCTCCCCCCTCAGCCCAGGAACCTCCGCAGGCCACCTTCCCTCCCCCCTCAGCCCAGGAACCTCCGCAGGCCACCTTCCCTCCCGCCTCAGCCCAGGGACCTCCGCAGGCCACCTTCCCTCCCCCCTCAGCCCAGGAACCTCCGCAGGCCAGCTTCCCTCCCCCCTCACGCCAGGGACCCGGGAAGAGCACCTTCCCTCCCCCCTCAGCCCAGGGACCTCCGCAGGCCACCCTCCCTCCCCCCTCAGCCCAGGGACCTCCGCAGGCCACCTTCCCTCCCCCTCAACCCAGGGACCTCCGCAGGCCACCCTCCCTCCCCCCTCAGCCCAGGGACCTCCGCAGGCCACCTTCCCTCCCCCCTCAGCCCAGGGACCTCTGCAGGCCACCTTCCCTCCCTCCCCCCTCAGCCCAGGGACCTCTGCAGGCCACCCTCCCTCCCTCCCCCCTCAGCCCAGGGACCTCCGCAGGCCACCCTCCCTCCCCCCTCAGCCCAGGGACCTCTGCAGGCCACCTTCCCTCCCCCCTCAGCCCAGGGACCTCTGCAGGCCACCTTCCCTCCCCCCTCAGCCCAGGGACCTCCGCAGGCCACCCTCCCTCCCCCCTCAGCCCAGGGACCTCCGCAGGCCACCCTCCCTCCCCCCTCAGCCCAGGGACCTCTGCAGGCCACCTTCCCTCCCTCCCCCCTCAGCCCAGGGACCTCTGCAGGCCACCCTCCCTCCCTCCCCCCTCAGCCCAGGGACCTCCGCAGGCCACCCTCCCTCCCCCCTCAGCCCAGGGACCTCTGCAGGCCACCTTCCCTCCCCCCTCAGCCCAGGGACCTCTGCAGGCCACTCTCCCCTCTTAGCCCAGGGACCTCGGCAGGCCACCCTCCCTCCCTCCCTCCCTCCCCCCTCAGCCCAGGAAAGGCACAGGAGAGGATCCTGCCAGGTAAAGGGAAAGTGGCCCGGGAGGAGCCCACGTGCCAACAACAGGAGTCCCAGAAGACAGAAAAGACCACAGATGAGAAAGCAGTTCACGCAGAGAACAAAACGTTCCCGGACCAAACCCAGGGTCGGGTTGCTCATTCCCGAGGCCCGATAGCGAGATGCAGATGAACTGGGGAAGAAGAGGGATTTTATTTCTGTAACTGGTTACAGGGAGAAGGCCTGGAAATGATCGCCAGACCAACTCCAGATTACAGTTTTTCCAGAGCTTACACACCTTCTAAGCTCTGTGTCTCCGTGTCAGTGTGCATTCGTCTAAAGACGTACGTGATTCAATTCTTCTCATCTCTAACTGAGGTCTGGTCCTGAAGATCTTCCTCTGAAGACTCAGTAAATTTACTTGATCTAAATGGGCCCAGGTGTTTACCCTTATCTTGTCTTCTGCTAAATCATGGAGGTTTGGGGAGTTCCTTCTCCACTTGTTTGTGGAGGCCTGGGGAGTTTTTTCAGACCCCCAGTAAAACTTGTTTAATCCTAAACGGGTCCTGGTCTCGTCATGCTTCAAGGCCCAAGAAAGCCCTGGGCAAAACTCTTGATGGGCTTTTGTTACGTCCCAGCCCTCGTGTGAGGGCGCTGGCTCTCAGCTTTCAGGATTTCACTTCACCCTCAGTCAGTGCTGAACAGTTGTCGCGGAGGCCTGCGTGAGTGAGGCCTGGCGTGCCCTGGAAACATTCCCCTGAGTTGAAGAAAGACTCACAGTTTTCAGCATCCAGTTACCCTCTGAGCATCAGGCAGAACCCGCCGGCCCCAAAACCAGGCCCCCTTGGCACATGTGGGCCCGAGTGAGTCCAGCATGAGGAGGTGCCGCTTCTGAGCAGAGCTCAGGTTGTCTCTGGGAGGAGGAGCGAGCGTTGGGTGCGGTGGCCGCTGCGTTGGCAGCCCTGTCCCTGAGCGGAACGCAGGTCGTCTCTGGGAGGAGGAGCGAGGGTTGGACGCAGTGGCCGCTGCGGTGGCAGCCCTGTCCCCAGGCGTGGACTCTGCCCTCAGCTTCACAGTCACCGAAGAAATGAAGTTACAGGAGGGGCACACCGTCCTTTTGTCTCTGCCTTTGAGGTTGGCGGGAACTGAAACTGGTACGGTCTTTTTGAATAGAAATTTGGGGTCTTTCTGGCGACGTAAAACTGTGTGTAGTTTGCAGTAGAGAGTGTTGAGAACAGCCTGTCCGGGCTGTGCATTGAGAAGGGGCGGTTAAAATGCTGCCACGTCGTGCAGCCCATAAAAGGGGGACACAGAGTAGCCGAAACTGCTCTTGGGGGAGGGGGCACGTCCCAGCCTTCCGTGTGATGCTGGGGTCAGCGTGGCCCCTCGGCTGCCAGAGCTCACGAAGACGGTTAAGGAAAGCTTCCCCCGGGTGGCTTTCACCCCACGGGGACAGAGCCCCAGATGGGCCCAGGGACCTCTGAGCAGCCGTGGGCCATGGGGTGACAGTTGGGGGTTGGTGGGACCCGTGGCTGTCATATACCCTGGGTAGACGGTGGCTTGTCCAGGCAGAGATGCCCAGGGGAAGTGGGTGGCACCTGAGGGCAGATCTGACTTTTCAAGAGAAGCTGAAAACACGGGTTTTTCTGTGAAATCTCTAGATTGAAAACAGTGGGCTTGAAAAGCCTGGAGCAGAGGGAGTGAGGCCTGCCCCCCACCCCAGCTCTGCGGGCACACCCTGGCCAGACAGCCCTGCTCCAGACCCGGCCTGTGTCTCAGGGTGGCCCAGGAGGGGACTTTGCAAGGTGACGTGGGGCTTGGAGGTCCCGTTTCCCTGTAAGCCTGGGTACTTAGGGGATGGCCCTGGTCAGACTCCACCAGTCCCAGACTTGGGGGACACGAGAAGGGAGATGGGCCACCCAGTTCTGGTTGGGCTGGGGTGGGGCTTCTGAGGGGTGGGGAGGTTGTCCCTTCCCACCCACCTGCCCCTGCCCCAGGATTCTCGGCTGTGAGCAGGAGGATGTGTACGATGGCCAAGTTGCCTGGACTGGGTCCGCCCCTCCTGGGGCTGTGAGTGCACAGGACACTGGGCCCACAGGCACCTCTGGGGCTCTGTCCCCGTGGGGTGAAAGCCACTTGGGGGAAGCTTTCCTTAACCGTCTTCACGAGCTCTGGCGGCCGAGGGGCCACGGGGGGCATTCAGATGAGTCAGAAGGAGCTGGGGCCCACCCCTCCTGCTTCCTCGCCGCCCCCCTCCCAGCTGCCCCCAGTAAATCCCCTCAGGCCCCTAGGACCTGGAGGGACGCGGCAGGTTTATCATCTCAGCCTGGAAACCACGTGACCTACCTGTTTCCCACCACAGCGCCCCAGGTTTCAGAAGCAGCTGAGGATGCCCTTCGCAGGGGAGGGAGGGACAGTGAGAAAGGAGGGTGTTCAGGGCCCAGGGATCCCCCACGGAGGCTGCCCCATCAGAACATACCGGGCACCTGTGGCCTCCTCTGAGATTCTGGCCTGGGCAGTGGTCATTTGAGCATTGGTTACCAAGGCTGCCTCTGAAATGGCAGGCTGGGGGCAGGCCAGCGTGAAAGGGACTGGCAGGAGTCCTGCGGGGACAGGCTGGGGGCAGGCCAGCGTGAAAGGGACTGGCAGGAGTCCTGCGGGGACAGGCTGGGGGCAGGCCAGCGTGAATGGGACTGGCAGGAGTCCTGCGGGGACAGGCTGGGGGCAGGCCAGCGTGAATGGGACTGGCAGGAGTCCTGCACGGCAGCTGTGCTGGGGAGGGGTCACCCTGGGCCCTGAGAGGCACAGGACATTGCGATGGGGTGCTGGCCTGCCAGGAGCACAGATACAGAGCTAGAGCCCAGTGAGGCCTGTGCTGTGAGGGGCTGTGCTGTGCCAGGGGAGGCCCCGCACCCGGGAAGCCCAGAGGAGAGTGTGCACTCACGGAGCCCTCCTGGCAGGGCCGCGTCTCTGGAGCAGCAGACCCGTGTCCCTCTGGGAGGTCAACTGCGGCCTCACAGCTGGGCCTGTCCCAGCACAGCCCTTGTTGGAGGGCGCACCCCCGTGTCCTCAGCACCCCAGTGTTGAGTGCCTTGACCTGCAGAGGGGAGCCTGTGCTGGTCCCGGGCGTCTGTGTGGCTCCTGGGTGCCCATCTGCACCCCTGGCCCTGCTCTGGGCTTCAGTGGAGCCGTGCCACCGTGGGAGTGTCCAGGGTCCTGACGTAGCCCTGAGACGTGGCCAGCTCCCTGGCCTGCTGCCCGCACAGTGGGCCCTTGTCTCTGCTCTGGGTCAGGCGAGGCAGCCACCCATGATGAGCTCTGCAGCCTTCCCAAGGTGGCTGGTGAGTCCCTGCCCTTTGCACCCCCAGCACCCTCACCCCTCTACCCGGGCGCCCGGGGTCAGGACCCGCTCCTGAGGTATCTGTCCAGCTGGCCGCCCCCTCTGTCTGGGGGTGCTGGACGAGTCCCACTCCTTGCCAACCCCAGGGTGGCTCCTCAGCTCTCAAACAAGGGGCGGGCTGCAGGGATTCCGAGGGCCCCTCCAGCAAGAGGTCCCACATGCATCTCCCAATGGGACACTTACCTGGCCCACAGGGTGGGTGTGACACTGAGGGTTCCTGGGGGCAGATTCAGGGCATGGGATGGAGACAGACTGGTTGTGAGGGGCCCAATGCAGGGGGCCGGCCCCAGCCCACAGGGTCGTTCTGCAGATGGGCTGGTCGGGGACGCTCTACCAGGTGAAGGGTCTGTGGTCGGAGTCTTCGCCCTGGCCAGGGCCCAGGACGCTCACGGTGCAGGCTGAGGGTCAGAGCCGCCGAGGGCCCCCTGCCGGGATTCTGTGCAAAGGGCCTCTGCACTTTATGTGGGTGCATGTGAATGCCCCTCGCCAAGATGTTCCTACCCTGCACCTGACACTTCCCACGACAAGAAGTGCTGACCCCAGAGGGTGTGCGCGGACCCCAGAGGGTGTGCGTGGACCCCAGAGGGTGTGTGCGGACCCCAGAGGGTGTGCGTGGAGGGCCTGGTCTGACCTCAAGGCTCTTGGGGCACCCACACAGGATGGGCTGTGAGGGGTTGGCGGGGGTGGGGGGGGTGGTCTGTGATGGCCCCCTGCTGAGCCAGAGTGACCCCTACAACCGGTCCAGGGGTCCACGGACCAGAAGGCCAGGTTCTCCTGGAGGTCCCATCTCCCCTGGGCCTCGGTTTCCCCTTCTGTGACTCCACACCCCCAAGGAGGGCCCTGTCAGGGAGGGCGGGGGGCACTGGTTAATGTCCAGGACATGGCTGTCCCAGTCAAGCCAAACCCCTGGAATGTGCTGAACTGGCTACACTGAGCGGGGCTGGCCTCCGAGACAGAGGGGCCTGCCGAGGACACGGAGGCTCTGTGGAACCCAGGGAACTGGTCACACTGAGGACACGGAGGCTCTGTGGAACCCAGGGCCTGGCCACACTGAGCACGGCTGGTCCCCCAAGACAGAGGGACCTCCTGAGGACACAGAGTCTCTGTGGAACCCAGGGCCTGGCCACATGGAGGACACGGAGGCTCTGTGGAACCCAGGGCCTGGCCGTGGCAAGGAAGCCCCAAGCCAAGTGTGTGTCAGCCTTGTCCTCTCTGTGGGCCTCAGTTTCCCCTCTGTGCAACAAGGGGAGTGACCAGCTGGTTTCTGGAGTCTCCTCCTCTCCCTCTCTGTCCCCAGGGGTGGGCCTGGGCCTCATGTCTGCAGGGGGTGCTGACACCTGCTCCTGTGGTCCGGGCCTTGGGGAGGGAGCCAAGTGCAGAGAGAATGTCTTGCTTGTGCCTGCTCAGCCCAGAGGGACACATGGCGTCTGCACCTGCTTCCCGCTTGGGCACAATTGCCCTTTGAGAGCAGAGCCAGGGGCTTCTTGGGGACGGAAGCTGCTCTCAGAAGCCGCGCACTGGTGGTGGGGGAGCGGCAGGAAGGGGCCGGCCAGCTGTCCTAGCCAAGAGCCTTTCAGGAACCGGTGGCCCAGGGCAGAGGTGGCTGGAGGTGGAGCTGTCTGTTTGGGCCTCAGGTGTCGGGGCAAGGCCTGCTTGGGTTTTACACGAGTGTTGCGCCTTTACCCGGGTCTCTGTCAGTGGGTCCCGCCTGACCCGTGGGTGTGCATGGGTCCCCGTCGTAGGCAGGCGTTCTGCCCTGGCCAGGCGTGGTGTCCGGCATCCGGCCATCTCCCTCCTCCCTCCTTCCCTTAGCCCCGCATCCAGGTGCCCCGTGTGCCCGGCCTGGGCGGCTGGCCGTGGATCTGACCGCTCCTGCATGGTGGAGGACCAGCGTTCCCACTGTCTGCAGCTGTGCCACCTCCCTGTGCCGGGCTGTGCGTGCTCACGCTCGGCTCCGTCTGCCTTTGTGCGATCAGACTGAGAGACCCCCCAGGCAGGTCCCGCCTGCAACAAGCAGACCCCATGCGTGCCCCAAATGCCCCCTCACCCGGGCCCTGCCCTGGTGGGTGTTGCCTGGGAGCAAACTCCCAGAATGGCCGCCGGGCCCCACTCGGCTTTGGAGCTTCTGATTCCTGTGGGCGCTTCTCAGGTCAGGGCCCTGCAGGTGGGAAGCACCAGGCACTGGAATGAGGGCACTGTGGGGCCAGCTGCCTGCAGGCAGGGGTCTGATCACCAAGCACCTGTCCCCTGCAGGATCCCTGGCTGTGGCTCCCCCGATGACGTTCAGGAAGTGGGAGCCGATCCCCTGTCCCCAGAGAGCCCCGTGACTCCCCCGATGACGTTCAGGAAGTGGGAGCCGATCCCCTGTCCCCAGAGAGCCCCGTGACTCCCCCGATGACGTTCAGGAAGTGGGAGCCGATCCCCTGTCCCCAGAGAGCCCCGTGGCTCCCACAGGTCCCTGTGGGCTCACCTCTTTGTGTCTCTGCTGTGGCTTCCACGGTGCTGTGGCCTCTATTCTGGGGACACTGAGCTCCTCCTTGCTCGAGGTTTTGGGTCCTCATTGTCCACATGACCTCCTGCTGGGCGAATTCTGGGATGACCCTGTGTCCTGGGCACATGGCTGGCAGGGTCCCGGGGGCTCTCTGGCCAGCCTCCCCTGCACCCTGGCACCAACCAGCCTGGCCGAGGGTCAGCTCCCAGAGCCGTGTTGAGAGGGGAAGGGGCTGATTCCACAGACATTTGGGGTGGAGTGGGTGCGAGGGAGGGTGGGGGAGGGGCTGCTCCAGATCTGGGGTGAGGGAGTCAGAAACAGGGCTGACCCCAAGGTGGGTACAGGAAGAGGCCCAGGTGTGGGCAGGAGCTGTCTGCACCTCCTGAGCGCATTCCCCAGTCCAGACCGGGAGCGAGTGTGGGGCTCCCTGGGCCTGTCTTGCTGACCTGTGGCCCTGTACTGACCAGCAGAGCATGGGGGTCCCTCGTACCCCTTCACGGACAGTGCTCTTCGAGCGGGAGAGGACGGGCCTGACCTACCGCGTGCCCTCGCTGCTCCCCGTGCCCCCCGGGCCCACCCTGCTGGCCTTTGTGGAGCAGCGGCTCAGCCCTGACGACTCCCACGCCCACCGCCTGGTGCTGAGGAGGGGCACGCTGGCCGGGGGCTCCGTGCGGGTGAGTGAGTGGCCGGGGGCTCTGTGTGGGTGTAGTGGCCGGATCTGCTGGGGCTGCACACCCCGGGATGGGGCGGGGGTGGCGGCGGCAGGCAGATGCCCGAGGTAGAGATGAGCAAACCAGGCTCAGCGATCCTGGGTGCCCTGCGGGGGGCTGTGCCCAGGTCCCTGGACGTCCTGGTCAGCGGAACTTCCTCCTCTGGGCAGTGGGGTGCCCTGCACGTGCTGGGGACAGCAGCCCTGGCGGAGCACCGGTCCATGAACCCCTGCCCTGTGCACGATGCTGGCACGGGCACCGTCTTCCTCTTCTTCATCGCGGTGCTGGGCCACACGCCTGAGGCCGTGCAGATCGCCACGGGAAGGAACGCCGCGCGCCTCTGCTGTGTGGCCAGCCGTGACGCCGGCCTCTCGTGGGGCAGCGCCCGGGACCTCACCGAGGAGGCCATCGGTGGTGCCGTGCAGGGTAGGCGGGCAGGGTGCCGGTCTGGGTCCCTTTGATTGGCCACGGTCCACATGGAAGGGAGATTCCAGCGGGAAATTGCCATTCTGCCCCACCCCTGTCTCCAGCCACAAGGGAACCAACCATCCCTTTCCCCAGGACTGTTCTGCGCCTCCCGTCCCAGGCAAATCCCTCTCCCCAGGACCGTCCTGAGCCTCCCGTCCCAGACAAATCCCTCTCCCCAGGACTGTTCTGCGCCTCCCGTCCCAGGCAAATCCCTCTCCCCAGGACCGTCCTGCACCTCCCGTCCCAGGCAAATGGGTATTGATCACCCCCAGTCACCCAGTGGGCAGGAGCAGGCCCTCTATGGCTGACCCGACTCTCTCTCATCCCCCCCGCTAATCTCTTTATCTGCAGAGGAGAAGGCTGGACGCTGAGGTGTCTCTCAGCTCCCAAACCAACAGCCACCCCGCCCCACCCCTTCCTCTTATTCTTTACTCCCTTCTCACCCTGCCCAGGGCCTGGCCAGGCCTCACCCACAACTTTCCCTCCACCCCATCCTCTGTGGCCACCTGACCCCGGCCCGTGGGAGCTACAGCAGGGAGTGCAGCAGACACATGGCCAACCCAGGGACCCCACTGCAGGGCCTCATGCCCCCCGCCTGCCCTCCGCTCTCTCTGTGTGGGCAGCGCTCACCAGCCTCCCTGGGTGCCGTCCACCTGGGCTCGGCTGCTAAGGGCTGTGAGAGGCTTGTTCAGCCTGGGAGGACTCAGGGCGGCTGGGATGAGTCGTGTGGAAGGGCGGTCAGAGTGCGATGGTCCTAACCCGAGGCACCAGCCCCTCCTTCCCCGTCCCCCTGTGCCTTCCTCCAGCCCCCCGACCTCGGGGACCCAGCAGCCCCTCCCACCTCTGCCCTCCTCCCTGCAGACTGGGCCACATTCGCTGTGGGTCCCGGCCACGGTGTGCAGCTGCCCTCAGGCCGCCTGCTGGTACCCGCCTACACCTACCGCGTGGACCGCCGAGAGTGTTTTGGCAAGATCTGCCGGACCAGCCCTCACTCCTTCGCCTTCTACAGCGATGACCACGGCCGCACCTGGCGCTGTGGAGGCCTCGTGCCCAACCTGCGCTCAGGCGAGTGCCAGCTGGCAGCGGTGGACGGTGGGCAGGCCGGCAGCTTCCTCTACTGCAATGCCCGGAGCCCACTGGGCAGCCGTGTGCAGGCGCTCAGCACTGACGAGGGCACCTCCTTCCTGCCCGCAGAGCGCGTGGCTTCCCTGCCCGAGACTGCCTGGGGCTGCCAGGGCAGCATCGTGGGCTTCCCAGCCCCCGCCCCCAACAGGCCACGGGATGACAGTTGGTCAGTGGGCCCCGGGAGTCCCCTCCAGCCTCCACTCCTCGGTCCTGGAGTCCACGAACCCCCAGAGGAGGCTGCTGTAGACCCCCGTGGAGGCCAGGTGCCTGGTGGGCCCTTCAGCCGTCTGCAGCCTCGGGGGGATGGCCCCAGGCAGCCTGGCCCCAGGCCTGGGGTCAGTGGGGATGTGGGGTCCTGGACCCTGGCACTCCCCATGCCCTTTGCTGCCCCGCCCCAGAGCCCCACGTGGCTGCTGTACTCCCACCCAGTGGGGCGCAGGGCTCGGCTACACATGGGTATCCGCCTGAGCCAGTCCCCGCTGGACCCGCGCAGCTGGACAGAGCCCTGGGTGATCTACGAGGGCCCCAGCGGCTACTCCGACCTGGCGTCCATCGGGCCGGCCCCTGAGGGGGGCCTGGTTTTTGCCTGCCTGTACGAGAGCGGGGCCAGGACCTCCTATGATGAGATTTCCTTTTGTACATTCTCCCTGCGTGAGGTCCTGGAGAACGTGCCCGCCAGCCCCAAACCGCCCAACCTTGGGGACAAGCCTCGGGGGTGCTGCTGGCCCTCCTGACAGGCCTTCTGGCCGTGCCCATGCCCCTTGGGTGCCTGGGGCAGAGGGGTGGAATACGTTGGGGTGCCCCACGATAGCTGTGGGGGGGGCTCTTAGTGCAGGATCCTGTGGATTAGAAACAAGTTGCTCCTCAGAGCTCTCAAGCAGGGACTGCTCTTTAGGAAGGGGAGCAGCGGCTGGGAGTGAGCAGGGCAGGGTGGGGGCAGGGTGGGGGCACGAAGTGGGCCCTGGGTGACCCCCACAGCTCCCTTCCGAGGCTGCAGGGCCAGGCGCGGGACCGCAGGTAGCCCAGGGTGTTGTGGGTGGCAGCACTTGTTTACTGGCTGCTTTCTGGCTCGAAATAAAGGAATCGTGCTTGTGTCGGGGTAGACGTTTCTTTCCTTTTCAGGTTCCAGCCCTGGGGAGGGGAGTTCTGCTGTAGCCCACTTCTCTGACCCCCATCCCAAAATCCCGCTGCCTTAGCAAAGCTCTACTCCTAAATGTCCTGGGGCCAGCAGAGGGAAGGCGGGAGGGAGGAAGTGGCCTCCGCCCCTGGCCTCCGGTGACAGTGATTTGCAAGTGGTCTGCTGTGCTCTCTGAACTTCCTGCTGGAGGAGTAGGAGGTAGGGCCTCTCCCCGCAGAGTTGAACGCCAGGAGGGGGTCACCTTCCAGGACCAGTCCAGTGTCCTGCTCCCCTGACCCCACCCTGGAGGGGGCTTGGGCTCCACTGGGGCTGTTTCCCCAGGGAAGTTCCTTTTTATTTCTTCTCCTTTTATAGTCTTCATTTCTGATGATAAAAGCAACATATGCTTACTGTAGAAAATCTGGAAAACGAGCCGGGCGCGGCGGCTCACGCCTGTAATCCCAGCACTTTGGGAGGCCAAAGCAGGTGGATCACCTGAGGTCAGGAATTCGAGACCAGCCTGGCCAACATGGTGAAATCCCGTCTCTACTAAAAATACAAAAATTAGCTGGATGTGGTGGTGGGCACCTGTAATCCCAGCTACTCGGGAGGCTGGGGCAGGAGAATCACTTTAACCTAGGAGGTGGAGGTTGCAGTGAGCCAAGATTGTGCCACTGCCCTCCAGCCTGGGTGACAGAGTGAGACTCTGAAAAAAAAAAAAGAAAATCTGGAAAATGTAGAAAACTATAAAGAAGAAAGAGAAGTGAGCCCCCGGGCCCCTGTCCCCACGGGCCCTTCCTTCTGGCTTCCTTTCAACGGTCCTGCCCAGCCTGCTGTCACGCCCATGGACGACGGCGCCAGCCGGGGGGTGCACACGTGTGTCCCACCCATGGATGATGGCACCAGCTGGGGGGTGCACACGTGTGTCACACCCGTGGACGATGGCATCAGCCAGGGGGTGCACACGTGTGCCACCTTCTTCCCGGCCCTGAATTGTGTGTGATGGGCTCCTTTGCATGTCTCTGGGTCTGGTCACCCCTTGGGGTGGCTTCGGTGACCACTCCCAAGGGTGGGGACCCACGGCCAGCCCCCAGCAGTGCGGAGCGTCCAGGTGGTCTCTGAGTTGCCGAGGGTCCCCAGGGGAGCAGAGATGACCTCCCCTTGCGGCCCCCTTTTCCCCAGCAACTGCCCTGCCAGGACGGCTGCTGCCTGAGAGGGGACACCACTGGGTTCCAGACGGGGGCAGGATGGGGGCCTGGATCCGGGGCCCCTGACAGCCCTGAGTTCCCACAATCACCCCGGGCCCCTCCCCACCTCAGGCAGCCTCAGCCCCTCATAGGAGGGGCCCGTTGCCCGGGCCCTGGCAGTGCTGGTTTTAGGGGGTCTGTGTCTTAGTCCCTTGGGGCTGCCAAAATGAAATACACAGACCAGGGGCCTTGGAAACAACAGAAATGTATTTATCACGGTTCTGGAGGCTATAAGTCCAAGGTCAAAGTCTGTGATCATGAGGGCAGGCTCCGTGTCTGGTAAGGGCCCAGTTTCCGGCTAGTGGATGGCGGCCTCTGGCTGTGTCACACACGGCGGGAGGGAGAGGTCTCTCCTGGGTCTCCTGTATGGGACACTATCCCATTCATGAGGGCTCCACCCTCCCAGGAGGCCCCACCTCCTGACCTTATCACCCTGGAGTTAATATTTCAACATGGGAATCTGGGGTGCACGTGTAGATCACGTGCTGGGTGCCTTGTGTCACGTGTGTGTCCTGACTTGTGGCCCGTGTGTAGGTCACATGCTGGGTACATTGTGTCATGCATGTGTCCTGGCTCATGGCCCGTGTGTAGGTCGTGTGCTGGGTGCATCCTGTCATGCGTGTGTCCTGGCTCGTGGCCCGTGTGTAGGTTGTGTGCTGGGTGCATCCTGTCATGCGTGTGTCCTGCCTCGTGGTGTGTGTGTAGGTTGTGTTCTGGGTGCATCCTCTCATGCGTGTGTCCTGGCTCGTGGCCCGTGTGTAGGTCGCGTGCTGGGTGCATCCTCTCATGCGTGTGTCCTGGCTCGTGGCCCGTGTGTAGGTCATGTGCTGGGTGCATCCTGTCATGCGTGTGTCCTGGCTCGTGGCCCGTGTGTAGGTTGCGTGCTGGGTGCATCCTGTCGTGTGTGTCCTGGCTCGTGGCCCGTGTGTAGGTCGTGTGCTGGGTGCATCCTGTCATGCGTGTGTCCTGCCTCGTGGTGTGTGTGTAGGTTGTGTGCTGGGTGCATCCTCTCATGCATGTGTCCTGGCTCATGGCCCGTGTGTAGGTCGTGTGCTGGGTGCATCCTGTCATGCGTGTGTCCTGCCTCGTGGTGTGTGTGTAGGTTGTGTGCTGGGTGCATCCTCTCATGCATGTGTCCTGGCTCATGGCCCGTGTGTAGGTCGTGTGCTGGGTGCATCCTGTCATGCGTGTGTCCTGCCTCGTGGTGTGTGTGTAGGTTGTGTGCTGGGTGCATCCTCTCATGCGTGTGTCCTGGCTCGTGGCCTGTGTGTAGGTCGTGTGCTGGGTGCATCCTGTCATGCGTGTGTCCTGCCTCGTGGTGTGTGTGTAGGTTGTGTGCTGGGTGCATCCTGTCATGCGTGTGTCCTGGCTCGTGGCCCGTGTGTAGGTCGTGTGCTGGGTGCATCCTCTCATGCGTGTGTCCTGGCTCGTGGCCCGTGTGTAGGTCGTGTGCTGGGTGCATCCTGTCATGCGTGTGTCCTGGCTCGTGGCTAGCAGGGTCATCACAGTCCACTCTTCTGCCTTCAGATCTGAAGCAAAGGAGCCACAGGCCTCTCTGGGGTTCTGGAAGCCGTGGAGCCCACTGCAGCTCTGCATGGCCCATTCTTCGTCATTCTCTTCTATACTGGGGTGAGCGGCGTCCCCAGCTTCATGTCCCCCTGGAAGCTCAGACTTTGCTACCTTATTTGCAAGTAGGGCCTTTGCAGACGTGATGGAGGTAAGAGGAGGTCATACTGGATTGCAGTGGGTTTAGCCCAGTGACGTCCGTCCTTGTGAGTCACAGACGCAGGGAGGAGCCATGTGAAGGTGGAGGCAGAGGCTGCAGTGATGCCGCCACCAGCCACGGGGGCTGCTCAGAGCTGGAAGAGGCTGAAGGACCCTGCGCTGGAGCCTTCAGAGAGGGTGCGGGCCTGTCACCCTTGGCTTCAGACGGCCTCCAGAGCCGCGAGAGGACGCATTTGCATTGCTTCAGCCGCCAGTCGGTGAGATTTGTTGCGGCAGCCTGGGAAGCAGCACACCTTCCTGCCTTTGCCGTCTGTCCGTCCGTCCGTCTGTCCACATGGGCCTCAGACCCCGGGGGATCCTGGCCGTCACTGCCCGGCCATGTGCAGCCTCGGCCTGTGTCAGACAGACTTGGGCTCGAGGTCCCCAGGAGCTCCGGTCGCCGTGGTGGAGCCTCTCGATGTCTCGGGCTGTCTGCGGCTGGAGCACCCTCTGAGCTGGGGTTGGGTCAGGTCTGAAGAAGGGGCCGGAGCTGGCCCTGCCAAGGGCCCCTCCTAGCAGCCGTGGCCTCCTCAGGTGGGGCCCAGGGCTCCGAGGCCCTGACTCCTCCAGGTCTGGGCAGCTGCTCAGGACCGGGGAAGGCTCTGCCAGGTGTGATGCCCCAGGCTGGGAGAGGGTGTGGCGGGGGGGCTGCCTGGCTCAGGGCAGGTTGAGCCCTTCCTCCTGCCCTCCTGCCACTGCCCCAGCTGTGGCAGGCTCAGGACATCTGGTGTCTGCTGGTGGGGGGGTCGCTGTGCCTGGGGACAGTCCTTCCCCCCTGCTGCACTGGGAGTTCCTCTGGCATCCTGGGAGGCCTGTGCCTCGAGAGAGACCAGCCCCCTAGATTCCTCCCACCACGGGCGGCTCCCCGGCACCCAACCGGCTCCTGAGCCCCTGCCCCACCTCCACATTCCCGATGGCTGCTCTCCCAGCCTCTTTTCCTTCCTTCCACCCCTGTATGGTTTCGATCTGTGTCCCCTCCCAAATCTTATGTCGAATTGTAATTCCCAGTGTTGGAGGTGGGGCCTGGTGGGAGGTGACTGGATCATGGGGTGGACTCTCAGGAAGGGTTTACTGCTATCGCCTCGGTGCTGTCCTCATGACAGCGAGTTCCCCCGAGACCTGGCTGTTTAAAGGTGTGCGGCACCTCCCCACCTTGCTGCTGCTTTCGCCATGTGACGTGCCTGCTCCCCCTTCTCTTCCACCAGGATTGTGGGTTTCCTGGGGCCTCCCCGGAAGCCGAGCAGATGCCAGCACCACGCTTCCTGTAGAGCCTGCAGAACCGGGAGCCGATTAAACTTCTTTTCCTTAAGAATCACCCAGCCTCCGGTGTTCCTTCACAGTAGGGTGAGGGGGGCGAACGCACACCCTGAGCCTTAGGGGCAACTCCTGCTGCTGTGCCCAGGCTGGGCCGGGCAGTGGCTCAGGAACGTGGCGGGGAACACGGTGCCAGTGCTGGGGTCAGGGCTCTGTCGTGGAGGCAGGATGTCTCTGTGGTTCCTTCCTAACCCTCATCCTTTTACCTCTTGTCCTGGCTTACTGGGCTGGCAAGGACCTCCAGGAAGATGTTAAACAGCCTTGATGTCTGATAGGCCAAACAAGGGCCCGGAAGCCGTCTGCATCCTCATTCCGGGGCCTGCACCATGACGTCATGGCGAAGGGCTGCGCCGAGGGGGCCGGCTGAGGGTCTTGAGGTGAGAAATCATCCTGGTCATCTGGGTGGGTCCAGGGTCTCACCAGGGTCCTTATGGGAGGGGACAAAGGGTGGGAGAGGAGGGAGGAGGCCTTGGAGCTGGGTTTGAAGATGGAGGAGGGGCCACAGCTGAGGAGCCGGTGGCCTCTGGAAGCTGGAAAAGACGGGAAGCGAAGCCCGGACAGCCTGCAGAGGAACCAGCCTTGCGGACCCCTTGATGTTAGCCCGGGGAGGCCATGTCAGACCCCCGGCCCCCAGAACTTCTGGGGATGCATTTGTGTCGTTTCAACCTCCAGGTCTGTGTGATTTGCTATGCAGCCTCGGGAAACAGCTGTGTGGCCACCAGGGTCCCACCCTGCTCCCGCCTTCTGGGCTCCAGGACGCAGGTGTGGGACCCCTCACCATCCGCATGGCCCTCTGCTGTGCACTCTCCTTCTCGTTCGTGTCTGTGCTGCATTCTGGTTGGTTTTCCTTGGCTTTTTTTTTTTTCTAGTTCACGAATTCTCTCTTTGCTGTGTTTAATCAGCTGGGAGTTACTCTCTTGCTCCCTCTCTCCCTCCCCCATCCTTTCTCTGTCCTTGTCTCTCTGTCTCTGTGTCTGTCTCTGTTTCTCTTTGTGTTTGTGTCTCTCTCTGTCTCTGTGTCTTGGGCTGTCTCTCTTTGTGTTTGTGTCTGTCTCTTTCCGTGACTCTGTCTCCCTCTGTGTCTCTGACTCTGTGTCTCTGTCTCTCTGTGTCTCTGACTCTGTGTCTGTCTGTGTCTCTGACTCTGTGTCTCTGTCTCTCTGTGTCTCTGACTCTGTGTCTCTGTCTCTCTGACTCCGTGTCTCTTCTCTGTGTCTCTGAGTCTGTCTCTGTGTCTCTGTCTCTCTTTCTCTGTCTCTGAGTCTGTCTCTGTCTCTTTGTGTCTCTGACGCTTTCTGTCCCTGTCTCTCTCTGTGTCTCTGTCTCTGTGTCTCTGTCTCTGACTCTGTATCTCTGTCTCTCTATGTCTCTGACTCCGTGTCTCTGTCTCTCTCTGTGTCTGAGTCTGTCTCTGTGTCTCTGTCTCTCTTTCTCTGTGTCTCTGTCTCTGTGTCTCTGTCTCTCTGTCTCTGACTCTGTGTCTCTGTCTCTCTGTGTGTCTGTCTCTGTGTGTCTGTCTCTGTGTCTCTGTCTCTGTGTCTCTGTCTCCCTGTGTCTCTGTCTCTCTCTCTGTGTCTCTGTCTCTCTCTTTCTCTGTGTCTCTGTCTCCCTGTGTCTCTGTCTCTCTCTTTCTCTGTGTCTCTGTCTCTGTGTCTCTCTCTGTCTCTGTATCTCTGTCTCTCTGTCTCTGACTCTGTGTCTCTGTCTCTCTGTGTCTCTCTCTGTGTCTCTGTGTCTCTCTCTGTGTCTCTGTCTCCCTGTGTCTCTGTCTCTCTCTTTCTCTGTGTCTCTGTCTCTGTGTCTCTCTCTGTCTCTGTATCTCTGTCTCTCTGTCTCTGACTCTGTGTCTCTGTCTCTCTGTGTCTCTCTCTGTGTCTCTGTGTCTCTCTCTGTGTCTCTGTCTCCCTGTGTCTCTGTCTCTCTCTTTCTCTGTGTCTCTGTCTCTGTGTCTCTCTGTCTCTGTATCTCTGTCTCTCTGTCTCTGACTCTGTGTCTCTGTCGTGTCTCTGTGTCTCTCTCTGTGTCTCTGTGTCTCTCTCTGTGTCTCTGTCTCCCTGTGTCTCTGTCTCTCTCTTTCTCTGTGTCTCTGTCTCCCTTTGTGTTCTTCTCCACGACGTTCTCTTTGTCTGACTTTCTGCTCCTGCCGCGTGCGCAGAGGGGCGAGGAGGAAGCATTTGCGCATGCGCAGAAGGCTCGCTCCACGCCACGTGCTTCAAGCGCGTCGTTCCGTTTAGTATGAAATAAAGGCCCGCGGGGTGGAGAACGTGTCTGTTTTCCAGATGTGGAGATCAAGGCCCGGCAAGTCCTCTGTTGTTGACGGTTCTCAGGTGGTAGAAACGATCTCGCAGCGCACCTGCGTGGCTTCCGAAACCGTTGTCTCAAGCGTGTTCCACTTGATGTGATTAAAAAAGTTCTCGTGGCCCCAAGCACCTGCTTTACCTGCTCAGACCAGAGTGTCGTTCCGTCCCATTCATTCCGCAGCTTTCCCCGAACGCACACAAGTGAAATGTAAATGTCAGTGTGTGTGTATCTATCTCCCGTTTCTCCCAAAGCGAGACCGTCAGCTGCTATCACTGCACAGCGATGCGGGGACCAGGCCCGGTCCCTTCAGCCCGGGGCTTCGGCCCCCGGCGTTGTCTGACCCTCGTGCTCAGCTGTTCCTGCTTCTTCAGGTTCCCAAGGCATCCCCAGCCAGCTTCCCTCCTGCAAACCCCCACCCTGGGAGCTTGACCAATGACATCGACATCTTTCAATACTTGAATCCTGACTACTTCTTCTTCTTCTTCTTTTTTTTTTTTTGAGATAGAGTCTCTGTCTTCCAGGCTGGAGTGCCGTGTTGTGATATCTGCTCACTGCAACCTCGGCCTCCCGGGCTCAAGCGATTCTCCTGCTGTAGCCTCCTGAGTAGCTGGGATTACAGGCATCTGCCACTACGCCTGGCTAATTTTTGTATTTTTAGTAGAGATGGGGTTTCACCATGTTGGCCAGGCTGGTCTCAAACTCCTGACCTCAGGTAATCCGCCTGCCTCAGCCTCCCAAAGTGCTGGGATTACAGGTGTGAGCCACTGTGCCCAGCCTCATTCTTCTTCTTTTTTTTTTTTTTTTGAGATGAAGTCTCACTCTGTCGCCCAGGCTGGAGTGCAGTGGCGTGATCTCTGCTCACTGCAATCTTCACCTCTTAGGTTCAAGTGATTCTCCTGCCTCAGCCTCCTGAGTAGCTGGGATTACAGGCACGCACCACTATGCCCAGCTAATTTTTTGTAGTTTTAGTAGAGACAGGGTTTCACCACGTTGGTCAGACTGGTCTCAAACTCCTGACCTTATGATCCACCCACCTCCGCCTCCCAAAGTGCTGGGATTACAGGCGTGAGCCACAGCGCCCGGCCCTCATTCTTCTTAATAATTGCATGAGAGCTGCTGGTGGGAGTGTGAAATGGTGCAACCACTGTGGAAAACAGTAGCCATATCACTTCTCAGAAACTTAGAGATGGAATTACTGTATGATCCAGCAGTTACCCCGCAGAATTGAAGGCAGGGTCTCAGAGATACATGTGCACCCAGGTTCACAGCAGCGTTACTCACGATAGCTAAAATGGGGAAGCAGCTGAAGTGTCCATCCATGGGTAAGTGAACAAAACGTGGTCCATCCATACAAGGGAATATGATTCTGTCCTAGGAAGGAAGGGGATTCGACAGTTATTATGACATGGATGGACCCCGAGGATGTTATACTGAGTGAAATAGGCCAGTCACAAAAGGTCAGATATCGTATGATTCCACTCATATGAGGTCTCTGGAGGAGTCAAATTCTTGAGATAGAAAGTAGAATGGTGGCTTCCAGGAGCTGGGGGAGGCGGAGTGGGAGCAAGTGTTTAATGAGGGCAGAGCTTTGGTTTTTCAAGATGGAAAGTTCTGGAGATGGATGGCGGTGATCGCCGCACAACACTGGGAATTAGTTTAACATCATTGAGCCGGCCACTTAAAAATGATTAAGATGGTGTATTTTATCACAAAAAAAAATCAGCAAAAAACTTGCATGATGGATTCTAGAGTGTAGATGTGCTGAAATGTATTCCACATTTCCTTATCAAGGGAAATAAAGATTATTTCTATTTTTTTCCTTACCACTACAAAAATAGCTTCAGTAAATATTCTTGAACATAGATTCTTACAAACTGGAATTTTGATTTCTGTAGGATAGATTCCCAAATGTGGGGTGACTGAGCAAAACAGCTCTATCATTTTTATTTTAATAGAGAATTCTTTCTCAGAGGAAATAGCCATCCCTGTCCCATCAGTCATGCATGGGAAGGCTTGTGTCCTTGCACACCTGCTGGTACTTCACATTATCTGCCTTTTTACTCTTTTTCCAGTGTGATGGGTACACCATGTTATTTGCCAGTCTTGGGTGTAGAGCAGGTGAGAGTGAGCTTCTTGGCCAAACAACAGCATCCAAACCTCCCATTCCATGCTTGCTAATTTCCCTTTTCCTTGCCAGAAAACATGATTCTATTAGGCTCCATGCAATAGAAACTCTCCACTACCATATTTGAGGTGGGTGTCCTTAATAGATGGCATTTGCAAAACAAAACAAAACAGAGGCCGAGTGCAGTGGCTCACGCCTGTAACCTCAGCACTTTGGGAGGCCGAGGCGGGTGGATCACTTGCAGTCAGGAGTTCGAGACCAGCCTGGGCAACATGGCAAAACCCCGACTCTACTAAAAATACAAAGATTAGCTGGGCATGGTGGCGGGTGCCTGTAATCCTAGCTACTTGGGAGGCTGAGGCAGGAGAATCACTTGAACTTGGGAGGTGGAGGTTGCAGTGAGCCAAGATTGCGCCACTGCACTCCAGCCTGGGTGACAGAGTGAAACTCCATCTCAAAACAACAACAAACAAACAAACAAACAAACAAACAAAACTGAGCCCTGGGTTGGGAGTGGGCTCTGGAAGGCATCAAGAACAAAATTGTAAATAATGCAGAATGAGGTGGGGCTGTTATTGTCATTTATCTTCAAAATCTGAGCTATTTATCAAGAATGGTTTGGATGATGGGGAAGGACGGAGGACTGTCTACACAGGCAGATCCCATGGGGAAGGGAATAGGAAACTGGCTGGGGGGTTTCTTCCAGGGTGCCCAAGATAAAGAGTGTCCTTCAATTGGCATTAATGAAACAGGGTGGATGTGAATCCTGGAGTCAGGAGTCCTGACTTCAGACTTCACTTCCAAGCAGCATTACCATGGAACTCCTCAGAGCCTTTTCCCTCATCTAGGTTGGTGGTCCAGAGGCAAATGCAGGACCACCTTTCTGCTTACCAGGCTGTGAGCTCTTTGAGTGTGGCAACCAAGTCTTTGTCATCTTTCTGTTTCTCCCCTACCCCAGCACCTCGCTGAGTGCCTGGAATGTGAGAAAAACTCCATTAATGTGTGTGGAATTAATTATCAAATTAAGGAGTGAATGAAGCCCATGACAGTACCTTGTTTCTCCTGAAGCTACTTTCACAGACAGTTTGTGTGGTCATACTGGGACTGCACAGCCTTTTCTGGGAAGAGCTGAGGGTGGTGGCTGTAGCCTGGGTCTGTAGAGTTTTAGCACTGGGATGCCTGTGGTTGCCTATGAACTCCAAGTAGAATAAACCAAAAGAAAACCACACCTGAGCACATCATAGTAAAAACCACTGAAACCAAAGATGAGGAGAAATTTCAAAGTTGGCCAGATAAATGGATTACCTTGAAAGGCAAGCCCTACTTTGAAAGGGGCCACATTTAGATGAAAAGTTGACTTCTCAAAAGAAACAATGGAAACTGAAAGACAGTGGATACCAGTCGTCAAAAAGTGCAGAACGAAAATAACTGCCAACCTAGAATTCTATACCTAGCAAAAATATCCTTCATGAATAAAGGTAAAATAATGACACTTTCAAATACACAAAAAAGTGATTTTGTCATCAACAGATTCACACTAACAGAAATATGAAAGGGGGCTCTCCAAGTAGAAGAAAAATGATTCTGGATGTAAGGCCAAATGAAGAACAATGGTAAACATAAAAAGTGGGTGAATCCATGAGGTCAGGAGATCGAAACCATCCTGGCCAACATGGTGAAACCCCGTCTCTACTAAAATACAAAAAATTAGCCAGGCATGGTGGTGCATGGCTGTAGTCCCAGCTACTTGGGAGGCTGAGGCAGGGGAATCACTTGAACCTGGGAGGCAGAGGTTGCAGTGAGCTGAGATCACGCCACTGCACTCCAGCCTGGCGACAGAGCAAGACTCCGTCTCAAAAAAAAAAAAAAAAAAAGGTGGGAGGTGAATCTAAATGAAAATGAACTGTAGAAAATTACAACAGCAGCAATGTCTTGTGGGGTTTCAACTATATATAGACTTAAAATACATAATGAAAATAGTACTAAAGCGGAGAGGGAGGTAGATGGAATGAAAGTGTTCTGAAATCCTTGCATTGTTCAAGAAAAGGTGAAAGTACCAATTCATATTAGCCAAGGATGCATGATGAAATCCCTAGTGTCAACACTGAAAGAACAGCAAAATTATATGATCACCAGACTAACAGAGGTGCCAAATGAAAAATAGAAAATGGTCAATTTATAAAAGACAAGGGATTACAGACTTAAATGTTAGACCTAAAACCATAAAAACCCTAGAAGAAAACCTAGGCAATTACATTCAGGACATAGGCGTGGGCACGGACTTCATGACTAAAATACCAAAAGCAATGGCAACAAAAGCCAAAATAGACAAGTGGGATCTAATTAAACTAAAGAGCTTCTGCACAGCAAAAGAAACTACCATCACTATGCAGCCATAAAAAATGATGAGTTCATGTCCTTTGTAGGGACTTGGATGAAATTGGAAATCATCATTCTCAGTAAACTATTGCAAGAACAAAAAACCAAACACCGCATGTTCTCACTCATAGGTGGGAATTGAACAATGAGAACACATGGACACAGGAAGGGGAACATCACACTCTGGGGACTGTTGTGGGGTGGGGGGAGGGGGGAGGGATAGCATTAGGAGATATACCTAATGCTAAATGATGAGTTAATGGGTGCAGCACACCAGCATGGCACATGTATACATATGTAACTAACCTGCACATTGTGCACATGTACCCTAAAACTTAAAGTATAATAATAATAATAATAATAAAAAGAAACTACCATCAGAGTGAACAGGCAACCTACAGAATGGGAGAAAATTTTTGCGATCTACCCATCTGACAAAGGGCTAATATCCAGAATCCACAAAGAACTTAAACAAATTTACAAGAAAAAATCAAACAACCCCATCAAAAAGTGAGCAAAGGATATGAACAGACACTTCTCAAAAGAAGACATTTATGCATCCAACAAACACATGAAAAAATGCTCATCATCACTGGCCATCAGAGAAATGCAAATCAAAACCACAATGAGATACCATCTCACACCAGTTAGAATGGCGATCATTTAAAAGTCAGGAAATGACAGGTGCTGGAGAGGATGTGGAGAAATAGGAACGCTTTTACACTGTTGGTGGGACTGTAAACTAGTTCAACAATTGTGGAAGACAGTGTGGTGATTCCTCAGGGATCTAGAACTAGAAATACCATTTGACCCAGTGATCCCATTACTGGGTATATACCCAAAGGATTATAAATCATGCTGCTATAAAGACACATGCACACGTATGCTTATTGCGTCACTATTCACAATGGCAAAGACTTGGAACCAACCCAAATGTCCATCACTGATAGATTGGATTAAGAAAATGTGGCACATATACAGCATGGAATACTATGCAGCCATAAAAATGGATGAGTTCATATCCTTTGTAGGGACATGGATGAAGCTGGAAACCATCATTCTGAGCAAACTATTGCAAGGATAGAAAACCAAACACCGCATGTTCTCACTCATAGGTGGGAATTGAACAATGAGAACACTTGGACACAGGGTGGGGAACATCACACACTGGGACCTGTCGTGGGGTGGGGGGAGGGGGGAGGGATAACATTAGGAGAAATACCTAATGTAAATGACGAGTTAATGGGTGCAGCACACCAACATGGCACATGTATACATATGTAACAAACATGCACGTTGTGCACACGTACCCTAGAACTTAAAGTATAATAAAAAAATTACCTGACACAATGTAAATGTCTTCAAAATATAAGCTACTATATACATCAGAATTATTAAAAGAATTTTGTGAAGAATCAGAAGTACAACCTCATATCAGATTTACTTTCCTTAAACAAAAATTTTTAACTTAGCACTGCTAATTGTGAAATTTGCAGTTAGCAAATCATTTCTTCCTACTATGAAGAAATAATTAGGCTCCCAAAAATCAACGGAAAGGAATTTGGATATTTTTATTTTACTTTTTTATTTTTTATTTCACTTGCTTTAGGGTACAGGTAGATTTTGGTTATATAGATGAATTGTATAGCGGTGAAGTCTGAGATTTTAGTGCGCCCCACACTCAAGTAGTGTACACTGTATCCAATAGCTAGTTTTTCATCCCTCACTGCCCTCCCAGTCTCCACACTTCTGAGTCTCCAGTGACCATTATAACATTCTACAGGCCTTTGCATACCCACAGCTTAGCTCCTACTTATAAGTGAGAAGCTACTTCACTTAGAATGATGGCTTCCAGCTCCATCGAAGTTGCAGTGAAAGATATTATTTCATTCTTTTTTATGGATGAGTAGCGTTTCCTGTGTATATCTACCACATTTTCTTTATCTGCTTGTCAGCTGATAGGCACACAGATTGGTTCCATATCTCTGCAATTGTGAATTGTGCTGTGATAATCATGCACATGCAGGTGTCTTTTTGATACAATGACTTCTTTTCCTTTGGGTAGATCTGGATTGCTGGATCAAATGGTGATCTGCTTTAAGCTCTTTGAGAAATCTTCATACTGTCCAGTGGAAGAGAATTTGAAACAGTTTATATAAAGATAAATGTTGGTTTACAGATGTTTTAAGTAAAACAAAACAATAAATCATTTAAAAAAAGACAAGGAATGAGAATAAATATACATAGAACAGGCAAGGCCAAAATAGAAAGCAATATTATGGCATCCAATTCAAACCCAAACATATCCAAATTACATTAAACATAAATCGACTAATATTCCAATTAAAAGAACAAAATGGCCATGCAGGCAAAAACCAAAAAACAAACAAACAAAGAAAAAGCCTTCCAAAACGCAACTAAACTCCATTGACAGTAGATTTAGAGAAGATATCGAGATTCAGAAAGATTGACAGTGAAGAGGGGAAACTAGACCACGAGAATATCCACATAAGCTCTCTTTATGTTAGGCAGAGACCTTACAGCTAAAGTTCTGCTAGTGATGCAGGTGACATTTCAAAATGATAAAAATTTTGATTCGCCAGAAAGTTTTAACAGTTTTACTTTTGTATGTACCTAATATGCCTCAAAGTGGACAAACTTATAGGGAAAATATGCATGTTATCAATTGCAGCAGAAAGTTTTCCGCATGAGTCTCTCAATAACCGACAGAGCAAGCAGACAAAAAACATCACTGAGGACAGAAGATGTGGCCAACGTGATGAATGAACCTGACTTAACTCACAAGTGTAGAATCCTGCACAAAACGGCTACAGCACATCCACTCGTCTCAAATACACTCAGATGTGAACACTGACATTATGTTGGGCCACAAAATCCATTCTCCACAAATTTCAAAGGATTGAAAATTACAGTGCAATTGAGCAAGAAATAAAAAGGAGAATTAAACATCACTATGTCCTCAGAAATTAAGAAACACAATTCTAGATAATTCATGGTTCAAAGAAGAAGCCACAGTGGAAATTAGACAATGTTTTGCAATTAGTTATGGAGATACTACATAAAGCTTGTGGGATAAAGCCAAAGCCAGGCTTAGAGGGAAATACATAGCCTCTAAATGCATATATCAGAAAAGAAGAATGACTGACCATCATTGATCTCAAGGAGCTGCATAAAGAACAGCGAATTAAATCCAAAGAAAGAAGGAAGAGAATAGTGAAGATGAGGACAAAATGATGGAAAAATGATACCGTAGAGCGAATTGAAAAAGCCAAGGTTTAGTGTTTGAAAAGACTAATAAAGTTGATAAGCCCTTGATGAGGCTGCTCATGAGAAAAAGAAAGAAAACATGAATAACTGGTACCAGGAATGACAAAGGATGCGCTGGAGATCCTGCGGGCAGTCAGAGATTTCAAAATTGTGTTATGATCCAATGAGAACACATGGACACAGGGAGGGGAACATCACACACCGGGGCCTGTGGGCGGGAGGGGAGGCAGTGAGGGGAGGGAGAGCATCGGGACAAATAGCTAATGCATGCGGTGCTTAGAACCTAGGTGACAGGTTGATAGGTGCAGCAAACCACCATGGCACATGTATACCCATGGAACAAACCTGCATATGTATCCGGAACTTAAAGTAAAATAAAAATTAAAAACAAACAAACAAAAAAGATGTTATGATCATTTTAATGCCAATAAACTTGCCAATTGAGATGAAATGGATAATTCTTGGAAAATACAATTTATTAAAATAAATATAAGATTACATAGAAAATCTGAAAAAAATCTTATTAAAGAAATTGAATCCATCATTTAAAATCTGCACACTAAGAAGACTCCAGGTCTACATGGCTTTCCCAGTAAACTCTGTCAAACACTTAAGGGCAAAAATCACACGTAGATGTCTTCCTGCAGAGAGCAGGGCTCTGAGCCCCGGCACTGTGAGGGGCTGCCGTGGGTGACACGACCCCCTCCTCTCTCCTACGCCACCAGGACGTGCGTGTTCCTCCCTTGGAGGGAGAGGCCATCAAGGAGCTTAGAAACATTCAGTATGCTACGAAAAATAAAGTACAAAAGTGTAACTAATACAACCACCAAAGCTTGGCCCACGAAAAAAAATTGATAAGAAAAGGTGATATAACACTGTTAAGACAGAGAAAAGATAAGCCACAGACTGAGAGAAAATCTTCACTGAACTCGTGCCTGATAAAGGACCAGGACCAGTGTTCAAAATAGTCAAGGTACTTTTAAAACTCAGCAATAAAAAAAAATCTGTTTAAAAAACAGGCCAAAGATCTGAAAGGACACCTTATCAAAGAAGATATATGGATGGCAAATAAGCATGTGAAAAAATACTTTGCAGGCGGAGGCAGGGGGATCACAGAGGCCAGGAGTTGGAGAGCAGCCTGGGCAACATGGTGAGACACCCTATCCCTAAAAAAAAAAATAAAATAAATAAATTATCTGGGTGTGGTGGTGCACAGCTATAGTCCCAGCTACTTGGGAGGTTGAGGCAGGAGGATTGTGTGAAACAAGGAGTTCAAGGCTGCAGTGAGCCGTGATTGCACCACTGCATTCCAGCCTGGGCAACAGCCAGACCCTGTGTCTTAAAAAAAAGGATGCTCAACACCGTATGTCATCAGGGAAATGCAAATTAAATAACACTACTGCATACCGACTGGAATGGCCCAAATCCAAAACACTGACAACACCAAGCGCTGGTGGAGACGTGGACGTTTCATTCATTTATTGCTGGTGGGAAAATGGTACTTTGGAAAAAAATTTGGCAGTTTCTTACAAAACTAAACATACTTTTATCATACGATCTAGAAATTGTGTCTCTTGGTATTTATCCAAAGGAGTTGGAGACTTATGTACCCATAAAAGCTTGCGTAGGATGAATTTATAGCAGCTTTATTCATAATGGCCAAAACGTGGAGGGAACCAAGATGTCCTTTCGTAAGTGAGTGGATAAATAGCCCGTGGTCCATCCAGACAATGGAAGATGACTCAGCACTAAATGAAATGAGCCATCGAGCCCTTCAAAAGCACGGAGGAAACTTAACTCATATTAGTAAGTGAGAGGAGCTGTGGACTTAAAAATCGCACTTTATAAATTTAGAGTTTTATTTCTTAAGAAGGAGATGACAACCTACAGGTGGAAGCCGAAGCTCCAGCTGAAAACCAAAAGTAAGCACTTTGAAAGAGGGGAGGGTGGAACGGAATTTATGCTGAATGAGCCGGACACATATGCATATTCAGCAGGTTATAGAAACATCTTATGAATAGTTATGAGAGAGTCCTACACTGCATACAATAAACGGGCATGTTATATACCACCCACGTTCACCTTGGGGTGGAGACTGCACATCTAACTGCGTTACAATCAGGCCCTGCACGTCAGAAGGTGGAGCCGGGACGGGAAGCACTCGGTGCGCAGCCTCTGTAAACCAGAACCAGTCCGGGGCTGGGGGTCCCTGCTCAGGGGACAGTTACTGAAATGCGGCTGTTGTCCGATGGCAGCTGTGGTTCTGGCTGGGGGAGCAGGGGTCAGCGAGGCAGTGTCTGGCAGGGGGTGAGCTGCACCTGCTTTAACGTTGTTCGTCTCAAGGCCAGCGTTTGGGTGTCAGAGAAAAAGAAAACTCCCGTGGCAGGTAGAACATAAATAAGTGCAGCGTGTGTGACTTCGCCCCTGCCTGGGGTGGCCTCAGGTCCCGTTGATAATGTGGCGTCTTATGGCCACAGTCGGTTCTGCCAGGCGATGTTCTCTATCTCAACACTCATGCTGGGCAGTTGCTGCGTCTAACCACACAGGGGAGGGGTGTCATGGGACGCATCTGATCTCCTGTCCCCTCAGGGCTGAGAACTCCATTTTTCAGGTTTCTCTGGGGTCCCCTTGACCAAGGGGTGAGGAGCCCGTCGGTTCAGTCAGTTGGGTGGCTTAGAATTTTATTTTTCGTCTCCATTTCCCGCTTTTGGCTGAGATTTGCCATAGGCAGCATCCACGGCCAAACCTTTATCTTGGCCCACCTTGTTGCTGGGGGAGGTGGGGCTACCTGCCCTGGTCCCTCCAGCCCTTCAGTGGAACCCTGATTGCCAAGGGGCTTACAGCTAAAAGACTTACAGCCAACTCAACGTTCTGGGCCAGGCGGAATTGGAGGTAATATAAGAGCTGAAAACCAAAAGCCAAAAGGCGAAGTGACAAAACTGGCTTATCTATAAGTTCCAAGTGTTGAGCTATCATAATTTTGGTCTCAGTCTCTGACTTGTAGCAATTAGCTACACGAAACGTAAGCATTTTGTTAAAACCATTTCAGCTAAGGAATTTAGAGACTTTGATATGCTGCTGTGCTTTTTGTGGTCTTTTTAGTAATTTGTCCTAAGGCGGCCAATACCGTTTTAATTGTATCTCTATTTGTATAAATCCCATAACTGGGAACAGCTGTATTCTGGAGGCTGTGTCACTAGGTGTCATTACATCCTCTTGGTAATTAAGTCTATGGGAAGCAGGAAATTCTTTAGAGGGTTAGAGTTGGAGGGATGGAGAGGGAACCACCTAATGGCCCAGGAGGCACAGTCCCTTGATTTGTCAGCAGTGCAGGCATCTATGCACTGTCCTTGATTTGGAGGGTCTGAGCTAGTTTTTTTTTTTTTTTTTTTTTTTTTTTTTTTTTTTTTTGAGATGGAGTCTCACTCTGTCACCCAGGCTGGAGTGCAGTGGCATGATCTCGGCTCACTGCAACCTCTGCCTCCCGGGTTCAAGCCATTCTCCTGCGTCAGCCTCCAGAGTAGCTGGGATTACAAGCGCGTGCCACCATGTGAAGCTAGTTTTTGTATTTTTAGTAGAGACGGGTTTCACCATGTCGGCCAGGCTGGTCTCGAACTCCTGACCTTGGATGATCCGCCTGCCTTGGCCTCCCAAAGTGGTGGGATTACAGGCATGAGCCACCGCACCCAGCCTGAACTAGTTTTATCCTTTGAAGCCAGCCCTTACCATCTCACGCCCCCTTCTCTTCCTCAGCAGTCCCTGGGCCTAGACAGAGGGTGCTTGATATGGTATAGCTTCAGCAACAGCTCCAGGAGACTTTGAATGAGAGAGATTTGAGAGATAAATGGCATTAATAATTTGAGTGGTAGAATTATAACGTACAGGCATAATGTGTCTGGAGTTGGTTCCTTTGGTGGTTTCGTGGTCTCGCTGACTTCAAGAATGAAGCCACGGACTTTTGCAGTGAGTGTTACAGCTCTCAAAGATGGCACACATCCAAAGGGTGAGCAGTAGCAAGGTTTATTGTGAAGAGCAAGAGAACAAAGCTTCCACACCATGGAAGGGGACCTGAGCAGGTTGTTGCTGCTGGCTGGGGTGGCCAGCTTTTATTCCCTATTTGTCCCCTCCCATGTTCCATTTTTGTCCCATCAGAGTGCCCTTTTTTCAATCCTCCCTGTGATTGGCTACTTTTAGGATCCTGCTGATTGGTGCATTTTACAGAGTGCAGATTGGTGTATTTTACAGAGCGCTGATTGGTGCATTTTACAATCCTCTTGCTAGCTACAGAGCGCTGATTGGTGCATTTTTACAGAGCGCTGATTGATGTGTTTTACGATCCCCTTGCTAGCTACAGAGCTCTGACTGGTGCGTTTTACAATCCTAGCTACAGAGCTCTGATTGGTGCGTTTTACAATCCTCTTGTAAGACAGAAAATTTCTGCAAGTCCCCACGCCACCCAGGAAGTCCAGCTGGCTTTGCCTCTCAACAAGAATTTATGCGCCCCTAACAGGAAGAAAGGAATCAACCCCATTAGGGAGCCAACTAAAACGATCATGAAGAAAATTACAACCTGGATCCTCTTTAGAGATGTGTAGCCAAGAGATAATTCAAGACTCAGTTTGAATTATAGGCAAAAAATAAAACTCAAGAACAGTGGTCGGGGCTGGAATTGCAGAACAAGTGTTTTCTTTTGAAACGTAATTTTTTTCATCTCTTTAGTTCCCCCTTTCTACCACAGAGAAATAATAATAAGACCAATTTGTGTACAAAATAAGTTTTAGTCTTATTCTATTTGGCTTGATCATTTGTGTAAATTGCAGCAGGAATAGCAGCTGGCCGTGTAGGCTCTTTTTAAATTGGCTTTGCTGGAACTTTATCGGAAAGTGTTATTTCAGTCAAAGGTCTTGTTAAAATAATATCCCCAAAGTGTCCTGTTACAAAAGAAAATGTATTCTTATTGAACTTATGCAAACCACCATATTGCTGTAAGTAAGAATGCTCATGAATAGTTTTTGAATTCTGGAGGTAGAAGGTAGAGAGAGAAAGCTGAACTTTGTTATTTTACTCAGTTTCTGTCACCTATAAATAGGTTAAAAGAAAAAAGGTTTTCTTGACTTTGGAAAACAAAACAAAGAATCAGTAACACTTTAAATACAAAGGCAATAAGCGCTGTTCAGTTCTGATAAGAACAGGAAAAGGAAGCTCACAGGTAGCTAAACATCTAAAGTATATAGTACTAAGACATAGAGCAAATTATATTAATTCAGATAGAGGGAAAACTATGAAATGTCTTAACGTCTTGGAGTATAAACCCAGCCCTGTGTCTCATGAAAGCCGTTCACTTCGATGGTTGTCTTCCCCCGGATCTGAAGACAAGGCTTTGGTTAGCTTGAGTTTGGTTTCAGATACCAGTGTGGAATGTTCAAGATTCAGCAGGAGTTGGTGCCTTTTTTAGGTGATGTGATACGGTTTGGCTGTGTGTCCCCACCCAAATCTCATCTCGAATTGTAATCCCCATGTGTTGAGGGAGGGACCTGGTGGGAGCTGATTGGGTCATGGGAGCTTGTTTCCCCCACGCTGTTCTCGTGATACTGAGTGAATTCTCTCGAGATCTGATGGTTCGATAAGGGGCTCTTCCCCCTTTGCTCTTTCTCTCTCCCCTGCCATGATGAACAGGATGAACGCAAAATTAAATTAAGACGTACCTTGCTTCCCCTTCACCTTCCACCATGATTCTAAGTTTCCTGAGGCTTCCCCAGCCATGGGGAACTGTGAGTTAATGAACCCTCTTTTGTTGATAAATTACCCCGTCTCAGGTAGTGTCTTTACAGCGTGTGAAATCAAACTCATACAGGCTCTCGGGGCATTTGTAGCTGCAATGCTCCCTGCCTGGGATGCCTTTCCTTTGCATCTTCCTCTGGCTGTCACCTCTTTTGTTTATAAATTACCCAGTCTCGGGCAGTTCTCTATAGCAGTGTGAAAACAGACTCATACTCTATGTGTGCCCAGGAGTCAACTCCCTGTAACTTGGTAGCACATGGATTTGTTAATAGTACCTTTTAAGGACCCTTCCAAAGTGCAGGGGAAAGAGTCCTGTAACTGATGTTTCTTCCAGTGTATGTAATCAGCAGGCTGGAGGTGGTGATTTTGGAGTTCATGACACAACTGGAAGCTGCAAAAAGATTTTACAGGCCAGGTGTGGAGGCTCACTCCTATAATCCCAGCACTTTGGGTTCACTTGAACCCAGGAGTTCGAGGCTGCGGTGAGCTATGACTGTGCCACTGCACTCCAGCCTGGGCAACAGAGTGAGACTCTGTCTCAAAAAAATATGTATAATCTCGTAATGATTCATTTTTATAGCTTTGATGATCCTGCCTGCAATAAGTCTAAGTGAGATGCTTAATGTAGGATTTGATTTTGAGGACTTTTGTGAAAGATGTTAAAAGGCTCAAAACATTTGATCAAAATAGAATCCTAGGTCATTGTAAAATAATAGTTACTCATGTAACCATTGCCATCTTCAATGGCAAGGCAGAAAGTTACATGGATGTAAAAACAAGCTCAGTTTTCATAAGCAATCAAAAAACCAAATAAAAATGACACTGGAAATTATCTTGATAAAATGCAAAATCTTCGTTTTTTGAGGCCAGTTACTCAAAAGGCAAAGAAACACCTTCTGCAGTCATTGTTTCTCCTCTGGAAGCCCATTGAGCTAACCTGCAAGTCAAACCTGATGAAAAAGGATATTTGAATTTAGTCAGGTGCAGGAAGAGTGTGTCTAGGGTCATGAGTGTACCTGATGTTATGGAGGAAAGGAAACAAGAAAACCAGCACCTTGAGCAGGGCAATGCATGACTCTTAGTAACAGCATGAGAAGTTTCCTGGCTATACTGAACAATGTATAACAAGAAAAGCCAAGAGTACAGAATCAAGTTATATGAAGGAAAACATTGCTTTTCTAGACCTTTAAGATCAACATTTCAGCATCAGGCCACAGCAGTAGTTACAATTGGAAAAGAAAGTTACAGGAGCTGATGAAAAAAAAGGCTGAAAGGGAAGGTTATCATCCCAACCAAGCAAAAAGATACACCTTGGCAAGGGCACAAGAACAGAAGGCAAGGATCAACACAGAATTAAACATCAATTTTTTTTTTTTTTGAGATGGAGTCTTGCTTTGTTACCAGGCTGGAGTGCAGTGGCACAATCTCGGCTCATTGCAACCTCCGCCTCCCAGGTTCAAGCGATTCTCCTGCCTCAGCCTCCTGAGCAGCTGGGATCACAGGTGTCCACCACCACGCCTGGCTAATTTTTGTATTTTTAGTAGAGACAGGGTTTCACCATGTTGGTCGGGCTGGTCTCGAACTTCTGACTTCAGGTGACCCACTTGCCTCGGCCTCGCAAAATGTTGAGATTACAGGTGTGAGCCACCGCGCCCACCTAAACATCAAATTTTATTAATAGCAAATTATTATTTTAACAAAACTTTTCTCTAACCGAAAACTTTTGGTTTTATATTAATTAGTGTACTTTTTTTTTTTTTTGAGATGGAGTCTCAGCCTGTTGCCCAGGCTGGAGTACAATGGCACCATCTCAACTCACTGCAACCTCTGCCTCCCGGGTTCAAACGATTCTTCTGCCTCAGCCTCCCGAGTAGCTGGGATTACAGGTTCCCGCCACCACATTCAGCTAATTTTTGTATTTTCAGTATAGACAGGGTTTCACCATGTTGGCCAGGTTGGTCTCAAACTCCTGACCTTATGATCCGCCCGCCTAGGCCTCCTGAGTGCTGGGATTACAGGCGTGAGCCACTGCACCTGGACCAATTAGTGTACTTTTAATATCAAAGTTCAATCTTTAGAAAGACTGCTATAAGCAATTTCCTTTTAGTAATAGCCAGCTTAAACATATACAAAATTCCTTTCATACTTAAAAAAAAATTTTTTTTTGAGACAGGGTCTTTCTCTGTGTCCCAGGCTGGAGTGCAGTGGTGCCATCTCAGCTCACTGCAGCCTCTGCCTCCCGGGTTCACGCCATTCTCCTGCCTCAGACTCCCGAGTAGCTGGGATTAAAAGCATGCACAACCACACCAGGCTAATTTTTGTAATTTAGTAGAGATAGAGTTTCACCACGTTGCCCAGGCTGGTCTTGAACTCCTGGGCTCAAGTAATCTGCCTACCTTGGCCTCTCAAAGTGCTAGGATTACAGGTGTACGTTTTTTTTATGAACCTTATCACAACTTATACAGACTGTTTACAACATGCTGCGACTTAATGGTTTGTCCTGTGCTCTCTCTTTCTTAAATAACCAGTCATTTTACTTTAGGACAAAAATTTAGCACACAAGATTCCTTTTCATAGAAAAGTTACAGAAATCAGTCTCTTGTCCAATCAAAGTGGTCATTAGGGCTGGTGGCCGAGGGGAGCGAGTCATGAGCCAGCGTCTGGCGGCAGGTGAGATGCAGCTGTGTGAATGTGGCTTCCCTAGAGGCTGGTGCTTGTTTAGCTGCTAGAGAAAAAGAAAACCTCAGCAGGGCACGGTGGTTCATGCCTGTAATCCCAGCACTTTGGGAGGCCGAGGCTGGCAGAATACGAGGTCAGATCAAGACCAGCCTGACCAACATGGTGAAACCCTGTCTACTAAAAATACAAAAATTAGCCGGGTGTGGTGGTGCATGCCTGTAATCCCAGCTACTCAGGAGGCTGAGGCAGGAGAATGGCATGAATCTGGGAGGCGGAGGATGCAGTGAGCCGGGATGGCCCCACTGCACTCCAGCCTGGGCAACGGAGTGAGACTCCACCTCAGAAAAAAAAAAAAAAAGAAAACCTCATGGCAGGCAGGACATAAGTCAGTGCAGCGTGTGTGACTTCACCCTGCCTGGTGCAGCCTCAGGTCCTGTTGATAATTTGGCATCTTACTGCTGTATTCAGCCCTGCCAATTTTTTTTTTTTTTTTGAGACAGAGTCTCACTCTGTCTCCCAGGCTGGAGTGCAGTGGTGCGATCTCGGCTCACTGAAACCTCCGCCTCCCAGGTTCAAGCGATTCTCCTGCCTCAGCCTCCCGAGTAGCTGGGATTATAGGCGCCCGCCACCACGGCCAGCTAATTTTTTTATTTTTAGTAAAGATGGGGTTTCATCACGTTGGCCAGGCTGGTCTTGAACTCCTGACCTCAAGTGATCCACCCACCTCATCCTCCCAAAGTGCTGGGATTACAGGCGTGAACCACCACGCCTGGCCCAATCCTGCCAATCTTATGGTCTCTATTTCAACATTCACTCTGGGCATTTGTGTCTAAACCACAAAAGGGAGGGGCTCTAACGAGCTGTATATGTCCTCCTGTCCCGTCCTAGCTGGGAACTCAGGTGTTAAGGTTTCTCTGGGGTCTCCTTGGCTAACAGGCGTCCTTTTAGTTGACTGGGAGCTTAGAATTTTATTTTTAGTTCTCAAAGCTAATCTGAAAAGGCCGCATGCTGTATGATTCCAACTATACAACATTCCGGGAGAGGCAATCTACCCAGACAGTAAGAATCCTCAGTGGTTGCCAGGGAAGGGAGGGGTGAATAGTGGAGCTCGGGGGAATTTCGGGGCAGGGAAGCCTCTCCTGACACCATCATGGTGGATACCTGACCTCATGCACTTGCCAGGACTCCCGGAACGCAAGACGCCAAGACTGGCCCCCAATTCGAGCTGTGGACCCTGCGTGATGGGGCCAGGTCAGTGCAGATTCGTCGCACAGCAAGGACCCAGCACCAAGGCAAAGGCGCTAACAATAGGGGTGCAGAGTGTGTGTGAGGGGCGAGGCGAGGGGCACATGGGGGCTCCGTCTACTTTCCACTCAGCTTTTCCATAAACCCCAAACTGCTTTAGATAGTAGAGCCTATTAATTTTTAAAAAAGTGTAGCTATAAAAATTCCAAGAAAAGAGAAGGAAGAAAGTGGATGACAATCAGTATAATCTTGAGGGCATCCACGTGGCCAATGGACTTGTGAAAACGTGATCGGCTGCAGGCCCGCCTTGGCTGAGGGACCCCCTGCCGCACCGGCCATTCCCCCCACAAGCCCAGACTTCCTGGAAGAGCTGGGGTCCTGCGTGCCACCTGCTCCGCCTCCTTCGGCCTGCAATGGTTCATTCTGTGTCAGCTTGGCCAGGCCGCAGGACTCTGATGTTGGTCAAACAGCAGTCCAGAAGTTTCAGTGAAGGTATTTTTCGAAGATAAAATTACCGCTGAGATCAGTAGACTTTGAATCAGCAGGTCAGCCTCCGCGACACAGGAGTCTCATCCAGTCTATGAAGGCCGGAGAGAAAGGAGAGAAAGGAGGATGGAATCCTGCCTGCAGGCATCTTTGGATTTGAGTGGCTACTTCGGCTCCTCCTGCGTCCCCAGCCTGCCTGCCTGCCGTAGTCATGTGAGCCAATTTCTCCAAGTAAGTTTCTCTCTCTCTGTCTCCACATTCTATTGGTTCTTTTTTTTTTTTTCTTTTTTTGAGACGGAGTTTTGTTCTTGTTGTTTAGGCTGGAGTGCAATGGCGCGATCTCGGCTCACTGCAACTTCCATCTCCTGGGTTCAAGCAATTCTCCTGCCTCAACCTCCCAAGTACCTGAGATTACAGGCATGCGCCACCACCCACGGCTAATTTTGTATTTTTAGTATAGATGGGGTTTCTCCATGTTGGTCAGGCTGGTCTCGAACTCCTGACCTCAAGTGATCTGCTTGTCCTGACCTCCCAAAGTGCTGGGATTACAGGCATGAGCCACCACTCCCGGCCTATTGGTTCTATTTCTCTAGAGAACTCTCACTACTACAGCTACACCTCCCTGGGCCTCAGTTTCCCCTTCTGTCCATCAGCGAGGCCGAAGGCTGCCATGGGCTGAGGTCTCACACCCGGCGCTCCTGCCCCTGCCCCTGATTCCGGGGCAGCCTGCATAGGCCAGGCAGTGGTCGAGGCCCACTTTCCCCGCCCAGCAACTGTGGTTCAGCGGTTCAGCGGCTGACCTCCCAGCCCAGAAACAGAAACTCTTTTTCTCTTGCAAAACAGAAAGTGTCCCCATTAAACACTCACTTCCCGCTGGCTCCCCCGACCCCGGGCCCCACCGTCTGCTTTTTCTGCCTATGAACCGGCCCACTCTGGGGACCTCGTGTGTGGGGAGTCACACAGTGTTTGTCCTTTTGTGGCTTGTGCCCCTCGGTGTGACGTCCTCGAGGTTCCTCCACGCTGCGGCGGGTGTGGGAGCCCTTCCTTCCTGAGGTGACTCCCTCTGTGCGGAATCACCGTGCTGTCCGTTCCTTCCTCCGGCGGTGGACACGGAGCTGCTGCTTCCACATGGCCGCTGATTGTGAATTGCGCTGCTGGGAATGGGGTGCACTGACTTCCATCTTTTTAAGGCTGAATACTCCTCCATGTATGTAATAACTTGGTTTTGCAGGTTGAATTGAGATAAAAACTGAAGACCCCAAACCAATCTTGGATTCTGTGGCTAAGCAGTTGGGGACGACGGTGCCCCCGTGCCCGGGGCAGGCATCCTGCGCTCTCACAGCCCTGGCCAGTGGCACCGGCAGTGCCCCTCCGGCCACACCCCGGCCAGGTTTTCTAAGGCTGGACAAACACAGGGGCCCCCACTGGTGGGTGCGGCAGACTGACTGGGGTCAGAGGTATGGGGAGAACACGCGGAGATCCACCCAAGAAGGGGAGCGATTGTGCCACAGTCGAGGGGGCCACGGCGATGGTGTGGTCACACGGCCTCGGTCACCCTCCAGAGGACCCTCCACATCCTGAACTCTCCAGAATCTCAGGAGCCTCACCCAGACTCAGAGCGAGGTTTGTCCACACTGGAGCCCTGACGCACGAGGGTAGAGACCACCAGGACTCACACCGCAGCCCCCCATGCGGCCCCACCAGCCCCCAGGGCCTTGGCGCTGCACCCAGATCGCCAGCCCGGTCTCCTGTAGCCCGAGGGTGGGTTCCCTTTCAGAGGCCCCCCGCTCACCTTCGCTCCTGCTGGGAGCCCTGGGCGGACTCCCCCCCACCCCGCCCAATTCCAAGGACCCCGGGCTCCATCCACGAGGCCCACAGGACCCGCGGTCCCCCGTGCAGAGTAAGGCGTCCAACGCCCACGCACTCCGCAGACCCGGCCGGTGGGTGTGGGCGGGGCTGGGGTGGGGCGCAGGGGTGGGGGCGGCGCTGCAGGGTCGGGGGCGCGGGGGCGCGGGGGCGCGGGGGCGCGGGCGTGGGTGGAGCTGGCCGGGCTCAGGGGCCTGGGAC
The DNA here is from genome assembly GCF_000001405.40 of Homo sapiens. Classification (NCBI taxonomy): domain Eukaryota; kingdom Metazoa; phylum Chordata; class Mammalia; order Primates; family Hominidae; genus Homo; species Homo sapiens. The sequence goes on from NT_187527.1 coordinate 56,206, forward strand.
ACGGGGCGGGGCCGCGCCTCTCTCGCTCCGGGTCCCACGCGCCCCGGCCTCCTCCCGGCACTGTCCCCCGGGGAGCCCCGAGGCCCGGCCACACCCAGGGCGCTCCTGAAGCCGCCGCAGCTGCTGTGCGAGGCCGGGCCGACCCGCCTGGGGCGCGTGGGTGGGGCGGGAGCGCAGCCGCAGCCCGGCGGCGACACAGGCCCGGGGCCAGCCGGGGACGGAAAAAGTGAGTGCGCGGCGGCGCGGGGCGGCCTGACGGGAAGGCGGGAGGCGAAGTGCTGACTGCGCCGCGGTCTCTCAGCCGCCAACACACCGCGGACGCCCGGGGACAGCGACCGCTTCCTCCCTCCCCGCCCGCCTTGTCTCTTTTTGTGAGTATCGATCTGAGCTCATGTTCTTTTTAACGTACTCAAAGTGTGTCAATCAATTAGGCTTTTTTTTTTTTTTTTTTTGACAGGGTCTTGCTCTGTCGCCCAGGCTGGAGTCAGTGGCACCATCGTGGCTCACTGCGGCCTCCACCTCCGGGACTCCAGGGATCCTCCCGCCTCAGCCTCCCGAGGAGCTGGGACCACCGCACCTGGCTAATTTTAAAATTTTTCCTTAGAGACAGGATCTCACTTTGCTGCCCAGGCTGGTCTCAAACTCCTGGGCTCAAGCGACCCTCCCGCCTCGGCCTCCCAAAGTGCCACCGTGCCAAGCCTCAGTTAGGTTTTTAATTTTAATTTGGCATTGTTTGATGCTCAGACTGCTGCCGTGTCATTTTCACACGACAGCAAGTTGGGGACAGCGAGTTGTTCTGTCCTGCGCGTGTGTCCCCTCATGGTCTTGAGTGACCTGACCCTCTGTGGGGAGCCCTGAGCCTCCTCCCTGCTCCCGCGGCCCCAGCTCTCAGCTGATGGAGGCTCCGGGGCGGGCTCAAGCCCCCGGCCGGCTTTGGACGGCTTTGCCGTTGCCGAGCCAGCGCCGTGAGCTCGTGGGCTCTGCGTCTGCACATGTTTGCCGGTGACCTCTGGGAAGTGTTTCGACGAGGATGGGGGTTGAGGGGGCAAAGGGCAAGTGCCCACCGCCTACCAGACAGCACCGGTGCGTCTCCAGCTCGGCTTCCCCGCCAGCCCCTCAGGCCTGCTCCCTGCTGCCTCGCCAACAGCCGCACCGTTGTCAGAGCTCTGTCAGCCTGGTGGATGTAGTTTCAACTTGTATTTTTGTTGAGAGAACCTGAACAACCTTTCATTGTTTAAGGGATATGGGTATGCACGCAGGCACTGCCGTATATACATATATTGTAGATACACACGTCCGCACACCTGTACACACACACCCACACACATACCCCTGTGTATGTACATACACACATTTGTATGCACACATATGTCTACACACGTGTAGACACGTGCACACACAGGCTCACGCACACACATTTTCTCTGAGCTGTTGGGTTATGTCTCCTGCACTTTCTCGTGTATTTTTGACCTTGCTTTTTCCAGACTCTTAGATCTTCCTACGACTGGCATATTCGCTCTTTTGTGGTGGTGCAAACATTTTCCCTCAGTTTGTTTATGATTTTTTTTGCCAAGCTAAAGTTTTTTGTTTTCCAATATATGGAGTTCAGTGTATCAGTCTTCTCTTTAATTGTTGCCTGATGTCCTTTATTCATTGGGAATGCCTTCCCCTCCCACACTGCAAGAATGCACCCACGGTTTCTTGTTTCTTGTAGGGTTCCTTTTTTTTTCTTTTTTGAGACGGAGTCTTGCTGTGTCGCCCAGGCTGGAGTGCAGTGGCATGATCTCGGCTCACTGCAAGCTCCGCCTCCCGGGTTCACGCCATTCTCCTGCCTCAGCCTCCCGAGTAGCTGGGACCACAGGTGCCCGCCACCATGCCCGGCTAATTTTTTGTGTTTTTAGTAGAGACAGGGTTTCACCGTGTTAGCCAGGATGGTCTCAATCTCCTGACCTTGTGATCCACCCGCCTCGACCTCCCAAAGTGCTGGGATCACAGGCGTGAGCCACCACGCGCGGCCAGGGTTCTTTTTGTATGCTTTTCTCTCTGCTGCATTTGGGATTTTGTGCATATGAGTCTAACTTAATACTTTTCCAGATGGCTATCCCTATCCCTGGGCAGTTGGTTAAAAAGTCGTTTTTCCCCTCACTGATTTGGGTCGCAGGGACTGGGCCTGTTCCTGTGTCTTCTGGTGCTTATCCCACCCTGTTTTCATTACAGTAAGTTTCCCCTGAGCTCATAAAGCTGGTCCTCTTTCACTTTCTTTTCATGGTTTTTTTGGCTGTTACTTGCTTGTTAATTTTTCCATATGAGCATGGTAGTTCCAGAACTGTGGTTTTTACTGGGATCGTATTAAATTTACAAATTGTATCGGAAGAACGTGCATGTTTGCAGCTGTGGCGCCTCTTCGGGGCCCGGGGGTCAGGGTGCCTTTGATTGAGTTCAGCCTCTGCGGCAGCTTTCCCACGTTTCTGGCTAGGTTTATGCCGGGAGCATCTTCTCTCTTGCTGTCCTAGATGAAACATCGCCCGCCACTCCGTCTCCTAGCGCACTGTGCTGTGAATGGGGTGAATGGGTGTATGAGAGCCGTGAATTTTGGACGCTGGCGCGCTGCGCTGTGAATGGGTGTTTGAGAGCCTTGAGTTCTGGATGCTAGCGCGCTGCGCTGTCAATGGATGAATGAGAGCCGTGAGTTCTGGATGCTGGCGCGCTGCGCTGTGAATGGGTGTTTGAGAGCCTTGAGTTCTGGATGCTGGCGCGCTGCGCTGTCAGTGGATGAATGAGAGACGTGAGTTCTGGATGCTAGCGCCCTGCGCTGTCAATGGATGAATGAGAGCCGTGAGTTCTGGATGCTGGCGCGCTGCGCTGTGAATGGGTGTTTGAGAGCCTTGAGTTCTGGATGCTGGCGCGCTGCGCTGTCAATGGATGAATGAGAGCCTTGAGTTCTGGATGCTGGCGCGCTGCGCTGTCAGTGGATGAATGAGAGACGTGAGTTCTGGATGCTGGCGCGCTGCGCTGTGAATGGGTGTATGAGAGCCTTGAGTTCTGGATGCTGGCGCGCTGCGCTGTGAATGGGTGTTTGAGAGCCTTGAGTTCTGGATGCTGGCGCGCTGCGCTGACAATGGATGAATGAGAGCCTTGAGTTCTGGATGCTGGCGCGCCGCGCTGTCAGTGGATGAATGAGAGACGTGAGTTCTGGACGCTGGTGCGCAGCGCTGTCAATGGATGAATGAAAGCCTTGAGTTCTGGATGCTGGCGCGCTGCGCTGTGAATGGGTGTTTGAGAGCCTTGAGTTCTGGATGCTGGCGTGCTGCGCTGTCAGTGGATGAATGAGAGACGTGAGTTCTGGACGCTGGCGCGCTGCGCTGTCAATGGATGAATGAGAGCCTTGAGTTCTGGATGCTGGCGCGCTGCGCTGTGAATGGGTGTTTGAGAGCCTTGAGTTCTGGATGCTGGCGTGCTGCGCTGTCAGTGGATGAATGAGAGACGTGAGTTCTGGACGCTGGCGCGCTGCGCTGTCAATGGATGAATGAAAGCCTTGAGTTCTGGATGCTGGCGCGCTGCGCTGTGAATGGGTGTATGAGAGCCTTGAGTTCTGGATGCTGGTGCGCTGCGCTGTCAATGGATGAATGAGAGCCGTGAGTTCTGGATGCTGGCGCGCTGCGCTGTGAATGGGTGTTTGAGAGCCTTGAGTTCTGGATGCTGGCGCGCTGCGCTGTCAGTGGATGAATGAGAGACGTGAGTTCTGGATGCTAGCGCGCTGCGCTGTCAATGGATGAATGAGAGCCGTGAGTTCTGGATGCTGGCGCGCTGCGCTGTGAATGGGTGTTTGAGAGCCTTGAGTTCTGGATGCTGGCGCGCTGCGCTGTCAATGGATGAATGAGAGCCTTGAGTTCTGGATGCTGGCGCGCTGCGCTGTCAGTGGATGAATGAGAGACGTGAGTTCTGGATGCTGGCGCGCTGCGCTGTGAATGGGTGTATGAGAGCCTTGAGTTCTGGATGCTGGCGCGCTGCGCTGTGAATGGGTGTTTGAGAGCCTTGAGTTCTGGATGCTGGCGCGCTGCGCTGACAATGGATGAATGAGAGCCTTGAGTTCTGGATGCTGGCGCGCTGCGCTGTGAATGGGTGTTTGAGAGCCTTGAGTTCTGGATGCTGGCGCGCTGCGCTGTGAATGGGTGTTTGAGAGCCTTGAGTTCTGGATGCTGGCGCGCTGCGCTGTCAATGGATGAATGAAAGCCTTGAGTTCTGGATGCTGGCGCGCTGCGCTGTGAATGGGTGTTTGAGAGCCTTGAGTTCTGGATGCTGGCGCGCCGCGCTGTCAGTGGATGAATGAGAGACGTGAGTTCTGGACGCTGGCGCGCTGCGCTGTCAATGGATGAATGAGAGCCTTGAGTTCTGGATGCTGGCGCGCTGCGCTGTGAATGGGTGTTTGAGAGCCTTGAGTTCTGGATGCTGGCGCGCTGCGCTGTCAGTGGATGAATGAGAGACGTGAGTTCTGGATGCTGGCGCGCTGCGCTGTCAATGGATGAATGAAAGCCTTGAGTTCTGGATGCTGGCGCGCTGCGCTGTGAATGGGTGTATGAGAGCCTTGAGTTCTGGATGCTGGTGCGCTGCGCTGTCAATGGATGAATGAGAGCCGTGAGTTCTGGATGCTGGCGCGCTGTGCTGTGAATGGGTGTTTGAGAGCCTTGAGTTCTGGATGCTGGCGCGCTGCGCTGTCAGTGGATGAATGAGAGCCGTGAGTTCTGGATGCTGGCGCGCTGCGCTGTGAATGGGTGTTTGAGAGCCTTGAGTTCTGGATGCTGGCGCGCTGCGCTGTCAATGGATGAATGAGAGCCGTGAATTCTGGACGCTGGCGCGCTGCGCTGTGAGTGGGTGTTTGAGAGCTGTGAGTTCTGGACGCTGATCTCACAGGCAGCACTCTATGGCTTTCTCATTGCCTGTGGTCATTTTCCATGGGACCTATCGGGTTTTGCGGATGGAAACCCACATCATGTGCAGAGCCCCCGGGCAGCGTTCCCTGCCAGGCCTGATCTGCCGGATCTCACCGGGAGTTCCCAGAGCTGCGAGGTCTCTGTGCCTGTCCCTGACACAGGCATGGGGTCCAGGACTGGGCTCCAGGATGGCAAGCAGAGAATGAGCCCCGGGGTGTCAGTGGGTGTTTGGCTGCGGTGCCCGAGGGCCTGGCAGGGCTCCTTTCCCTGCACCGTCCCTGCTGCTAGCTGCCAAGGACCGCAGCAGGGTGATAGGGCTCCAGCAGACGTGACCCCGCCTCCCCCGCTGCCCCCACCCTGTGTACTTAGGGAGGGACCCGCAGATGCTGTGTCCCTCATAGCCCAGGGCAGCCCTCCCACCCCGCTGTGGACGCCCTGGCACCAGGTACCACCCCTGCCCGGAGGGACTGGTAGGCATGGGGACACGGGGGCTATGGAGCAGGCACAGTCACTCAGGGACACCCATGCCTGGCCAGGAAGCCTGGGGCCAGGGGGCCGTGGGACCCCCCTAAAAGGCCTGGGCTTGGGGAAGATGGTGTCCCCAGCCCCGTGATGTTGGAGGAATTTTTCACCGGAGGGCTCTACATGTGAGTGGGGCAAACAGGGCGAGGAGGGCCTGTGTGTTTCTGGGACAGCGAGGGGAAGGCCTGACTCAGGCCAGGATCCAGGGGAGCCACCAGCACCCTCCACACACAGCCTCAGCCTGGCTGCCGCCTTGTCCCTCCCTGGAGGCCTCCCTCCCTCCTGCCCACTGCCCCCACAGCCACCAGACAGGACAGAACTCCTTAGCATGCTCTCATATTTAATTATAATTATAATATAATAGAACCACAGGGAAGGGGGATCCCTTGTCCCAGCCACTCAGGTGCCTGCTGGCCGCCTGGATGCTGGTGGCCCTGCCCCAGGAGTGGGGGTGCAGTGTGTGGATGTGAGGAGTGGATAGGCCACGGCGGGGGTACTAGGCCCCGGGGGAACGCCTGTACCTTCCCACCCAGGCCCTGGTGGGAGCCCGGCCAACCCCTTTAAATAATTTCAGGAATGGGTTCCAAGGAGAGCTCCCAGGGTGGGCACATGGGGGGCCCTAGGTGCCTGCACTTCTGCCCTCCCAACACCCAGGTGGCCACAGCTGGGAGGGGCCTGAGTCAACCCCAGCCCTGCCCTCCTGACCTTGGGACCGTAGGATGTCCCTCTCCCGAGTGGTGTGAGGGGCTGGGGTGGAATGCGGCGGCAGGAGGCCAGAGTGCTGGCTGGGCCTGAAAGGCCTCCAGCTCTGCCTGCCCGCTTACTGCCTCAGCTTCCCTGCCCCACAAAGGGCCTGAGGTGCTGCCTGGGCATGTGTAAAGGTGGAGGGGTTTCCTGCCCTGCCCACCACAGCCAGGAGCTCTTCTGACCTTCCCTGAAACTTCTCTAGGCCTGCAGGGAGCAGATAACTCCTGGGGAGTCCCCAGCCCCATGTACCTCCCACTCCTGTGCCCAGTCTTGGGCCCTGCGTCCAGGGCGTTTCGGGATGCCACTGCCAGGGGCACCTTGGCTGCTCCAAGGCCATCTCCAACCAGCCCCCAAGTTCAGGCAGGAGGCTCCGGGGCGTCAGGCAGGGCCACGGCGCCTTCAGCCCCGGGCCGCAGGCAGCAGCAGCAGCAGCAGCAGCAGCAGCAGAGATTCAGGGAGCTGGACGCAGGCAGCTCTGTGCTGGCAGGACCTGAAGCAGTGACTGCATCTGGCCCTCCCTGTAGGGGACGGTGACACCTGCTGCCTGGGCTCACTGTGGGCATTGAGACATGAGTCCTGTGGTGGGGCTGTGCCTGGTGCAGGTGCAGGCTGGAGCCCCGGTCGCCCCCAGGCAGCTCAGCCCCTGGACGGCCTGCAATGGCCTGCACCCTGCCTGCTTCTCCTGAGGAAATGCGCTGACCCGGGCTCATGGTGGAGGGTCTGCAGAACACTGGTGGCCAAGGAAGCCGGTCAGAGGGGCCAAGAGCAGTGTCCATCCTCAGGCCTCAGTGGCTGGGCACTCCGAGGGCCGTCAGCTGAGCCCCTGCGGGCGGGGGATGAGGTGCCCATTCCGCTAGGAAAGACAATGGTGGCATACTCCGTCTGCTCAGGGACACAGGGCACGGGGGGCTCCGGGGTCTTCTCTCGCCACTGGAAATCCAGCTCCCCATAGTCCACAGAGAACACAGGCACGGCTGAGGGGTCCTCCTTCTTTGAGGAGAAAGGGAGAGGGAGTCAGCCCCACGGCCCACCGCAGGAAGGAGGCCCGCGGCTCCACAGCCTGGCTGCAGTACCGGCACCGAACCTGGGCCCCCCACTATGAGCTGCTTACCCTGAGCTGTCCCACCACTGCCCTCTGTGTGATCTGGGGACACCACCCCTCCTCTCTGGCTCAATGTCCCCCTCTGAAATGTCCCTGGCATTCTTGCAGATTTAGGATTCCAAAATGTGACTTTTCAAGCTCTCCTGTCTCCAATGTAAGATAAGAAATGACCAAGCCCACCCCACGCCCTCGCAGGTGGGCACACGCATGGGCCGGGCACACCTGGAGACCGCAGGCAGGCACATATGTGGGCCGGGCACCCCCAGAGACCGCAGGCGGGCACACGCGTGGGCCAGGCACCCCTGGAGACCGCAGGCAGGCACACACATGGGCCGGGCACCCCCGGAGACCGCAGGTGGGCTGGGGCCCCAGATCATGGCTTTAGGGATTGAGGTTGCTGCCTGGGGGCTGGGGAGGTGGGGTCCTGGCTATAATAGAATGTGAGTCCTGCAGGCCGTGTGGTCCCAGCCTGTCCTTCCACCTCTGCCCACCCAGGAAGGAAGGCACAGTGGATCATGCAGGAAAAGAGTGAGACTCACCAGGGGCTGGCCGGTGCGCCTGGCTCCTATTGTCCCTGCAGAGAAACACACTTGGGGTCACCAGGCCGACCCTGAGCCGTGCTCCTAGGTGGGGGGTCTTAGTCCAGGGGCCTTCATCAGGGACTTAGCCTGGCGGGGAGATGGGGGGAGGTGGGGTGGGGTGAGGGAAGGGTGGAGGAAGGGGAGGCGGGAGTGAGGGCCGCCAGCAGGGTTAGGGCAGGGCAGGCCGAGGGGCTGGGATGACGTTACCTCGTGCGGCCCGGGAGCAGATGACGGCCAGGACCCAGACTAGCAGCACCAGGCTGCCCAGCAGGCCGCCCACGACACCAACCACCAGGGTTTGGAACTGGCCGGCTGGCCTGGGTGAGGGGCTGGGGTGGGCTGTGGGCACTTCTGCCCTTCTCTCTGGAAGGGCACAAAGGTCAGGGGTTAGGACGGGGTCAGGGTGGAGGGTCAGGGTCAGGGGTGAGGGCAGACTAGAGGGGCTGGGGTGCTTCCAGAGCTAGAGGACAGAGATGCCGGTCACCATTCCCCAGGTGCAGGACAGAGCCCTGGACTGGAGCTGGGGGGTCCCTGCCCTACGACCCTGGAGCTCCTGATCCTGTGCAGGAGGGGACACCCACCCCAGGACCGGCTCAGCTCACCCCTGCCCCGGGGCCTCCGAGGCCGCACCTGTCACCCTGAGCTCTGCCCGCAGGCTCTCTTTGATCTGCGCCTTGGGGGCCAGGGAGATGGCCCCACAGAGGTAGGTGCCGCTGTCATTGCGCCGGGCCCTGACCACGCTCATGTGGAAGTCACGCCCGTTGGGCAGTTGTGTGACACGGAAGCGGCAGTCCTGGCCGGGCTGGCTGCGGTCCTCGGGGAAGGCGGCCAGCTTGTCCGTCTGGTTGCTGGGGCTCATGCGGTACCAGTTTAGCACGAAGCTCTCCGATGTGTTGGAGAAGCTGCAGGTGAAGGTGGCGTTGTCCCCTTCGGTCACCACGAGCAGGGCTGGGGAGAAGGTGGGGGGGTTCCAGGGCCTGTCTGGGGAGTCTGAGAGATGGAGAGAGGTGAGGAAGGGGCTGGGTGGCCCCACAAAGCCTCCCCGGCCACCTGCTCACATCCCTCGGGCAGCAAGGGCTCTGGAAGGGCCACCCCAGCTGGAATGTCATTGAGAAGTCTCTGCTGGGGCCTCTGCCACCCGGGGATGGGCACTGGCCTCCACTGCAGAGCCTCTTCCTTCTACGTGAGGCTGCAGCTTCTGCACAGCACCTGGCTCTGACTTGGGTCTCCCTGATTTCCTACTAAGAGCCTTCACCCCCTTCCCCGTTGAGGCCAGTTCCCCCAGAAAGGGCTGTTTGGGGGCTACCCATCCCCAGCCCCTGACCCTTGGGCATCCTGGCCTGGTCCTGTCTGCACTGCTCTGGCACAGGGGAGTGTAACTGGTCTGGGTGGGTGGGGGGCTGCCCATGGAGACCCCAGCCCTGGGAGGAGTGTGGCCCCTTGGCAGGCTCAGGGTCCAGTCTTTGCCCCCTTTTCAGGACAAGCTCGGAGCTGGGACCACGTGGTATGGGCATTGCTGCCCTGGGCAGTGGGCAGTGGGGCCTCCACATTTTCCAGCAAGACAGTGGGGACTAGAGCTCACAGCAAAGATGCTTCAGAGACGAGATGGGCCATTGACTCGGATGTGGACAGACACGGGGCCCCCGACCCTGGGCTCCCAAGACAAGGACCTCCTGAAACATATGCCTGCCAGGGTCAGGGCTTGGGATACCCGCATGGCAACGTGGGGGTCGCGGCTCTTCCGCCAGGCGGAGGCACCAACACAGGCGCTTAAGATCCAGGCCCGAGATGCCATGCAACGGGGTGATTTTCCCGGCTCACCCACAGGTCCCATGCCACAGGGTTCCCCAAACATGGCGCCAGCCCCACACTGTCAGACCCAGTGCACTGTCACTCAGTTCCGTCTCAGGCCTGGGCACGGCCCCCCAGCGAGGTGACACAGAGACCAGGCCCTGGTTGCCACAGCTGCGGTCCCTCTGCTTCCTGGGACAGGCGGCCTCCGTGGCAGGCGGTGGTGATGACTCAAGGAGCAACCAGCTCAGAGGAGGAGGGGGCTGCTGCCCTCGTGTCCCTGCAGCCAGGCTGGCCCACGGCGTGCTGGCTGGACACCAGAGGTGGGTGGGTCTGTCATGTGACCAGGACCAACTCCTAGTGCCAACCTCACTGGGCACCCTCCCAGGGGACGAGTGAGGGGTTTGAAGTGACCTTGAGGCCACCCAGGGTGTCCCTGTTCCCTCTGTGCCCATGGCCTCCCGGCTGACAAGCGCTCGCCTCCTTCACCTGCGTGCCTGTCCCCCAGCTTCCTGGTGGTGTTCCCAGAGGTGGCAGGGGCGAGGGCCAGCTACACAAGGGGCTGCTGAGGTGAGCCCCCTCTCTGAGACCGCCCTTGTCTGCCGGCCGGCCAGGGGAAGCTCCCTGCATAGGCGTGTGCGGCGTGGGCCCGGGGAATCTTCCAGCCACTCCAGAGTGGATTTTGACCAAGGAGGGCTGTGGGGTAGTGTGACTCTCAGGGCCAGCAGGCAGCCAGGCCAGGGCACTCAGAGACCTGCCTGAATGGAGGAAGATGGGCTTCTGGCATCAGGGCCAAGAGGGCTCCTGGGAGGCAGCCTGGGACAGGGTGGGCTGCAGCCCTTACTGGGCCTAGGCTGGGGCTGGGTGGACTCGGCACAGAGCAGGGGAAATGCCCTGCCCTCTGGGTTTCTGGGAATGCAGTGGGGACCCAGGGGCCCCACCACCGCAGGCAGCCCCTCGGGGTCTCCATCTCCCAGGCCAGGGCTGCCATGCAGCTGTCGGGACAGACAGGCAGGTGAGGAACAGAAGTCATCACGGGTACTGTGAGCAGGGACCCTGCATGGCTAGGAAGTGCTAAGGGACCCCCCAGCTGTAGGGCGAGGTGCTGGCGACAGGACAATGGCCGCTGTGTGTCCACACCGCAATGTCCCTGGGACCATCTGTGCATTGTTCTTGTAACTGGAAACTTAGCTGCTATTTATTTGCACACATTGGTGGAGGGACCTGCTCCTGACTTGATCTGTGCTGGCGCTGACAGGCTCAACCCTTTTCCTGTCTGGCTTGCACCAGCCCTCAGCCACTGGGCCTCAAGCCAGGACCCTGGGCTCCTGTTCCGCCCCCCCCAACCCCCCTATTTTGGAATCCACCCCGGGGAGCAGGTCCAGCTGGGCCCCTCGGCCTCCCCTGCCTCCACCAACTGGCTGGGTGGGGTGGGGGCTAGACCTCGGTGTCTGCAGTTCAAGCAGCCCCCTCTCCCACCTCCCCCAGCCAGTCTCAGAGACTGGCTCCCACCCAGTGTGGGGGTGCTGGGTGGCGACCCCCACGCAGGGCCTGCCTCACCCCAGTCCTCAGGCCACCTCCTCCAGGAAGGCTTCCTGGCCTCCCTTGGCTGGTAGTGTCTACTAGGAAGGTGAATATTCAGAAGTGACCACTGGCTGGTCCTGGATCAAGTTAGATTTGGGGTGTTTCTATGGGATTCCATTGTTTCCCCAGGTGCTCCCTCTCGGATCCACGTAGGATCGTGGGTTGATGAGAGAGGGCTGTGCCCTATGCAGGGTCAGGAGGGAGACAGAGCCCATCCCGGGGCTGTGGAACAGGCCTGTGAGGTGGCGGTGGGGGTGCTCCCGCAGAGAGACCGCATTACAGGACATTGCTTTCCAGAAGCGCACAGAAGAAGGCTGCCTGCCCCGGGCGGAGGAACCTGCTGGCCCAGACCAGACCCGGCATCTCTGACCGTGGTCCCATTAGGGACAAGGAAACCGTCCCACGGGCTGTGCTGGGATGAGGACAGCGAGCTTGTCCCTAGAGGACCTGGCAGGGGTGAGGAGTGAGGTCTTCCAACTCCTCACAGTCGTGTGTGTGTGTGGAGGTGGGAAGGGCTGTGGGCCGAACCGTGTCCCCACAGATTCCTATGTGGAAGTCCTAACCCCATGACCTCAGAAGGCGGCCTTATTAGGAATAGGGTGACGGCAGCTGGGACTAGGTAAGATGAGGGCACAGGGCTGGGTGGCCATTGACCAGCAGGCCTGGCTTCCTGTACAGAGTCACCCGTGCAGAGATGAAGGCAGAGCCTGGGGGATGCTTCTGAACCCAGGAACACAGAGGGTGGCCACAAAACCCCCCAGCCAGGAGAAGCTGAGCAGAGCCCTCTCGGAGCACAGGGAGCCGACCCTGTGGCCCCTCGGTCCTGCATGTCCAGCCCCCCACGGCGGGAGGACAGGCTCTGTTTTTAAGCCACAGCCGGGAGAGGCTGAGCAGAGCCCCTCAGAGCACAGGGGAGCCGACCCTGCGGAGCTCCATCCTGCACGTCCAGCCCTCAGTCGGCGAGAGGGCAGGCTCTGTTTAAAAGCCACTCGGTCGGCGGAGCTTTGTCATGGCAGCTCCAGCCGCCCAGTCCCCAAAGCAAATGTGTCAATATTCTTAGTTATTGATTCTAGGTGAGGGATATTCATTGTTTTTAAACGTTTTTGTATATTTTTCAAAATAGTCCGTTTAAAATCTGACTTCAAAAGTTTGACTTTAAAAATCAGACTTTAAAAATATGTGTCATGGAGGCCAGATGCAGTGGCTTATGCCTGTAATCCCAGTACTTGGGGAGGCTGAGGTGGGAGGACCATTTGAGCCCAGCCTGGGGAACATAGCGAGACCCTGTCTCTAAAAAAAATGGAAGAAATTAGCCTGGCAGGGTGGCACGTGCCTATAGTCCCAGCTACTCTGGAGGCAGAGGTGGGAGAATTGCTTGAGCCCCGGAGGTCGAGTGAGCCGAGATCACACCACTGCACTCCAGCCTGGGTGACAGAGCAAGACCCTGTCACTAAAAGAAACAAACAAAAAAGTGTCAGGGGCTGGGCTGGGTAGTTTTCACAGATGACCCGATTTAATCCTCAGGACGCAGCCTTGCCAGGAGGCGTCCTCACCCATGACCCAAAGCACACGGAGAAGTCAGTAAGGGGCCAAGTCCTGTCGAAGGCCCAGAGCTCAGCAGTGGCAGCGCTGACTGGAGCTCACAGTGGTCCCACGCCAAAGCAGAGGCTCTTATTTATGCTCCTGCCCTCGGACGGGGCCAATAAGCAGCCGGGTTGGGGATATCTCATAAAACACAAGGGAAGCACACACCTGAGGTGGGAGTGGTGGCCCCGGGAATGACCGAATGGCGAACGCAGTGAATAGATCAGGAGGGAAAAGAGGCATCCTGGAATGAAGACCACTGCGGCCGGGGTGGCCACATCTGGGTCAGGACCCACAGGACCCCAGTCATGCCCACTGCGCCTTGCTGAGTGCCCTGTGCTGTTACCAGTGGGGAAACCGAGGCATGCCACCTGTGAGAGTCTTGTCCGGCACAAGCGCGGGCACCTGAGGCACGAGTGTCAGGCTGCGGACACCTTGCTCTTATCTTTCCCGCCTGGGTCGGGGAGGGTGGCGTCCCGAGGGCGTGCCTGAAGAGCCGGGACACGGGGGGAGAGGCTCGGCTCCCCTCCTGCCTCGCTCAGCTCCCCCTCCCCTGTGACGAGCGCCCCTCTGCCCTCTGGTTCCCCCGCAGTCGTCTCCCTGGGATGCCTTTTGGCCCTTTGCTCTTTGCCTTTTGCCCAGAATCTCCAGTTCTGAGTCCTGAGTGACCCACGGGCCAACCTTAAGAGGTGGCGCTGAGGCAGGAAGGCACGGCCCTGACAAGGATGCTGCCTCAGGTGCCGGGGAGCAGGCCCCGGGAGAGGGGCCGAGGTGGGGAACCCCCAGTCGCCTGCCACAGTGAAGGGGCACCAGGACCCCCGGGGCAGGAGCCTCGAGGGGGTGTCAGGGCGGCCCCAGGGGTGCCCCTCATCTTGTCCTCCCAGTGGTGTCACACCCCGGTACCCAGCAGGGCCCAGAGGGACTGTCTTAGGCTTGGCCTGGGTGAAACCACCCTCCCCAGGCCTTGGCATCCCCAGGTGCAGGCTGGCTGGGCACAGAGGGCCAGCCGGGCACAGAGGGTCCAGGAGCGGGCTGTGGTCACAGTGTACACAGAGGGCCCAGGGTCACGGGCAGCCCAGGAAGAGGCTCCCTCTCTCCTCGATCCGGGAGAGTGAGGCCAAGGCCTCCCCCACGGATGGTCTGAACAGGGCTCGGGGAGAGCCCTGGAATCTGGGCAGAGACCCAGGCGGGCACAATCCCCACCCAGGAGGGATCCTGGAGACAGAAGAACTGTCCTCACTCGAACAGGTACACTTTGGATATAATGAGAAAAATATCACCAGCTCATCTAAACTTTGACGTCGTAAAGCCAAGGTTAGTCCCACATGGGGCTCATCCCATCCTTAGGAAAACTCGAGTGAGGACCAAGGATGCCTGGGCAAGGCAGAGCCGCCACGCAGACTCCCCACGGCCAAGGTTTGGGGTTCTGGCCAGCCTGACCCGTCATTCTACAGAAACACGCAGCCCCAAGGACCGGCTGAGAGGGGACAGAGGTCCTGCCTGCCCAGGAGCAAAGAGGGGACTTGGGCCAGGGGAGGAGTTGGGGCCCAGAGAGGAACCCAGGAGTTCGAGCTGCCCAAAGCCACACAGCTCAGGGTAAGGGGCAGAGCTGGGGGCCAAGGCTGGGCCTGCCACAGCACCCCCCGACCTGCCAGGGACTGAGAGTGAAAGGTCCCTCCAGACCCCTCGCTCCGGGACCCCTGGGCTGCCAGGGCCAGGCCCGCCTCAGCACCCCCCGACCTGCCAGGGACTGAGGGTGGAAGGTCCCTCCAGACCCCTGGCTCTGGGACACCTGACCGCCGACCCCACCTACCTAAGAACCATCCTGGCCGCCAGCCCAGTTGTAGCACCGCCCAGACGACTGGCCAGGGCGCCTGTGGGATCTGCATGCCTGGAGCAGCCCCACCAGAGTGCCGCCTTCTCCACTGCTCAGGCGGAGGTGAGCGGAAGGGAAACTGTCCCAGGTCAGGTTGAAGGGAGGGTGCCCGCCCCTTGCTCCCGCCCCCTCTTCCTCCACATCCACGTGGGCGAGAGTGACAGAGGCAGTGCTGGGGGAGGAGGGGTGAGGAGGGGGTAGGACTGGGGAGAGGGTGGGGGAGGGAGAGAGAGACAGAGACAGGGAGACAGAGGAGATGGGGAGGAGGTGGGCCCGTGGCCCCCACGCCCTACCCCGTGGGGGTCTCCCCAGCTCAGGGCCCCTTCCTCCTCTGTGTCTCTGCTCACTGCTGTGGCCTCTTTCCATATCCCGCCCGAGCTGCCCCTCCTGAGGCTGCCGGGTGGGGGCAGGCCCTTCTCCTCCCCCATCCCCCCCATCTCCCTGGGGGCCGGGCCTCCCTGCCTGGGGAAGGTGGGTGGCCCCCTCTGGGCTCAGGTTCCTGGGCTGCAGTGAGGGGTGGGCTCAACCCCACTCCCATTCTGTCGGAGCCTCTGGGAGCCTCCCGGCTGCCCACAGCCTCTGCCCCTGCTGGGGGCAGGTGCCTGGCCTCTGCCTTCCCGGCCCATCCCCCTTCGCTGGGGCACAGGTGACCCTACTGAATGACAACTGTCCATGGCTAATCGGCTCCCCCTCAAAGCTTCCACCTTGTGGATGGCCTCACACCATGGCCACAGTTCCAGATCTTTCCACCGTGTGATGCCTGCAACAGCCTGACGGGGGGGCTGGGGCGGTGGCAGGGGCTGGCTGTGAGGCTGACCTCCCCTTCCAGCCTTGACCTTCTTCCCCGGGGCCCTGCCCTCCAGCCCACTCGTGCCAGGGTGGGGTGGTTCAGGGGGTCCAGTGCCTGGGCCTGGCTGGCGGCCCGGCGTTTGTGAAATGGCTTGCTTATCTCCTTGTATTCTGTGCTGAGCATTTTATTACAGCGAATGGAAAACAGGAGAAATGAAACTGCTGATATTAGTGATGAGATGCGTCAGGCTCATCAGCTTAAAATAACCGAAGCGAGGCTAGAAACCGCCTGACAGCTGGCGCGGCTGCCTGGCTCCGAGAGACACTCGGCCCGGCTCTGAAGGGAAAACATTAAAGCACCGAAACAGTGGAAAAAGAGCATCAAAGATGATGTCTGCGAGGCGCGGCCACGGCGAGGAAGCTCTCGTTTATGAACAAAGGGCCACTCCCGGGTCTCAGAGATGTGAGGCTGTGTGGGTGGCTTGGTGGGGAGGTGGGGGGGGCCCAGCTGGCCAGGTGGGCTTGGCGGGGGGCCCC
Source organism: Homo sapiens (assembly GCF_000001405.40). Taxonomy (NCBI): domain Eukaryota; kingdom Metazoa; phylum Chordata; class Mammalia; order Primates; family Hominidae; genus Homo; species Homo sapiens. The sequence continues at coordinate 72,250 of NT_187527.1, forward strand.
CAGGGAGCCTGGCAGCACCCACTGTGCTGCCAGACAGCTAAGGTGGCCCGCAGCAACTGTCTCCTGGCACACCCACCCTTGTGCCTCAGGGGCTGGGGCTCTGGGGCTGGAGAACTGTTGGTTGGTAGGTGCCTCCATAGCCCTGTGCCTCGCCCAGGCAGTGGATAAGTGGCTAAGCTGCCCCTGCTGGCTGTACTTGTCCTGAAGGCAGATTCTGGACAGAACCTCCCTCTGCCCCCAGCCCTGTAGAGCCTTGTTCCAACCTCTGTTGAATGCTGTCTCTGTTCCAGGGCAGCAGTGGGCCTTCCTCAAGGCTCTGAGCTTTGTGGGACGAAGCTGTCCTCTGAGGACTGGGAATGCCACTGTGTGGGCTGGAGGGGAGGCTGGGCCCAGGAGGTGGGCTCTGAGATGGGAGATGCTATCAGACCCCTGGAAGGTCTCCTCACCACCAAGGCCCTGCCCCCAAAATTCCACCTGCCAGGGCTTGGACACATGTCCTGGAGTAGGGGGCGGGCACAGGGAGAAACCCAGCTTCCATCCTACCCCTTCCTTCCTTCTCCTTCTCCCACCCCTCTCCTCTCTCCCTGCAGTTCTTCCCTGTCACCCACTCTCCTTCCCTCCTCCTCTCAGTCCCACTGAAGGCCCCTGGGCCATGGGAGAGGAGACCTGGTGGGGTGGGCCCAGCGTGGAGCCAGGGGACTGCGGCCACTGAGGCCAGGGCTGCCTGATGGTCTCTCCACATTGCTACTCGCTGGAGCACCTGCAAAGAGACACATGGACCCAGGGAGGGTCTGCAGGGCTGCGAGGGGTCTGAGCCTGGAGAGCACAGGGCCTGCAGGGATGCAGGCATTGGGCATTGGGCCTGGACTAGTAGGCTGAACCTACAGGGTCCTGGGACCCCACCCCGAAGCAGATAGGCGGTCCCAGGGCTCAGGTGTGGGGTGGGGACTCATGGAGCCTGCACCCCAATATCACACTCCAGACCACTTATTGACACCCTCCCCCAAACACATACGGTGTCCCCAACACACGATTTCCAACACACCACACCCCAACACACACAGTCCCCAACACACACACAGTCCCCAACACACACACAATCTCCAACACACACAATCCCCCCACACACAATCCTCAACACACACACAAAATTCCCAACACACACAATCCCCAAAACATACACAGTCCCCAACACACACACAAAATTCCCAACACATACAATCTCCAACACACACAATCCCCCTGCACACAATCCTCAACACACACACACAATTCCCAACACACACAATCCACAACACACACACAATCCCAACACACACACAACTTTCAACATACGTAGAATCCCCAACACACACAATCCTCAACACACACACAAAATTCCCAACACATACAATCCTCAGAACACACACAATCCTCAACACACACACAATTCCCAATACACACACAATCTCAAACACACACAATTCCCTCACACACAATTCTCAACACACACACAAAATTCCCAACATGCACAATCCCCAACGTACACGCAATCCACAACACATACACAAAATTCCCAACGCACACACAAAATTTCCAACACACAATCCTCTGTACACATTGTCCCCAACTCACACACAACTCCCAACATGCACAGAATCCCCAACACACACACAAATCCCCAACACACACAATCCTCAACACACACACAATTCCCAATACACACACAATCCCCAACACACCCAATCCCCAGCACACACACAGAATCTCCCCCACACACAATCCTCAACACACACACAATCCCCAACACACCCAATCCCCAGCACACACACACAATCTCCCCCACACACAATCCCCAACACACACACAACCCCCAACACATACACAATCCCCAACACAATCCCCAACACGCAATCTACAACACCCACACACCACAATCCCCAACACACATACAAAATCTGCAATATACACACAATCCCCAACACACGATTTCCAACACACACAACTCCCAAACATACATGCTCCCCAGCACACACACTTTCCTCCCACACACATCCTAAGCCCGTGCCTTCCACCCAGTAGGCTTCCACTGTCTTCTGTCACGAGGAGGAAAGGCAGGCGGAGTCCGGGGAGCAGGGTAGATGGGGCTAAGGGGCCCTTGGCTGGCCGGCCCTGCGCACCCCTCCCCCATCTCCTTTTCTCAGCCTTCCTTCCCAGGGAACCTGGACACCCAGGCCCTTCCCCCACCGCCTGCTCCTTCCTCACAGAGGGTCATACCCCATCCAAATCACTGGCCCTGGGATGGCAGCAGCCAGATTCAATCCAGGGCATTCAGTTAAAAGATAATTTACAACAAGCAAAGTTGTATGTGGTTTTTGTCTGTTTATTTTCTTTTAGAGACAGGGTCTTGCTCTGCACCCAGGCTGGAGTGCAGTGGTGTGATCTTGGCTCACTGCAGCCTCGACCTCCTGGGCTCAAGCGATCCTCCGACCTCAGCCTCCTGAGTAGCTGGGACCACAGGCGTGCACCCCGTGGCCAGCTCATATCTAACATTTTTTTTTTTTGTAGAATTTGGGGTGGGGGCAGAGGAGGTCTCTTTATGTTACCCAGGCTGGTCTCAAACTCCGGGCCTCCAGCAATTCTCCCACCTTGGACTCCCAAAGAGTTGGGATTACAGGCGTGAGCCACCACACCTGGCTGATGGTTGTATGTTTTGGTTGAGTATTGTATCATTTACAATTGAGATAATTGTAGATTTACTTGCAGTTGTAAGAAATTACACAGATGTTTCCTCATACACTCTGCTCAGTCTCTCTGAATGATAACAGTTTGGAAAACCACAGGACAACGTCACAACCAGGTTAATGACTTTGATGTGACACCTCGATCCCATCCTGAGTCCCCGTTTCTGGCTAATGTGTGCCTATCAAAGGCTGCACAATGTGGGCACAAGCGAAGGCTCCTGCATCCCCTGACAGCGAAGCTGCAGAACGTCCCCATCACCACGGGGTCCTCCGGGTGCCCTTGGCAATACACCCACCTCCCTGCTGGTGGCCACGAGCCTGCCCTCCACCCCCATCACTGTTTCATTCCAGCGACAGCCGTGGGAAGGTGCAGTACGCATCCTTCCGGGATTCCCTGGAGATGCCTCCAGCGCGTGTGTTTCAGCAGCCCGTTCCTCTCTGTGCCGAGCCATCCAGGCTGTGGTGTGGATGTACGTACCACACCACAATTTAGTCAGCCATTCTTCAGTTTAAGTGAGTCTGGGTGGACTCCAGTTCTTGGTGACTATGACTAAAGGCCCCGGAAGCCCTCTGTGGGCCAGAGCGCCCAGGAGGCCAGGGGATCTAGGACTGCTTTCCGAGACTGGGGCCTTGCTCTCAGGGGCCTGGAGAAGGTTCCCCTCGCTGGGGGCCCTCCCATGCTCCTGGACTGAGAAGAGAAACCCTACAGTTTCCAAGGAGCCTGCACGTCATGACGCATGGCGCCCGGCGCACGGCAGTGGTGAGATGGGCCCCGTGTGCTGGAACATGAGCCAGCAGCGATGGAAAGTGGCGAGGGGAGGGGAATCCCCGTGCTCGCTCGGGCCAGTGGGAAGTTTCCATCCGCGCAGGGACGGTCCGGGGAAGCACTGGAAACAGCAGGACCATCCCGAAACTGCTTCTGCAGTGGGAGGCGCCGGGCGCCCGGCTGGCCGGGTGGAAACCACGCTGCAGCCGCCGGGCCAAGGGCACCGCGGTGGGGAGGCAGCGCCTGATTCACAGCAATTTCTGAGGTTGGAACAGGAAATGGTTAATAGTGTTTGCAAATAAAAACTCTCTGTTCTATCCTGTTTTCGAAACATTTCCCAGAAGTTAAAAAATAACACCCAATTTATCTGCCCAATTTAAGAATAAACTTTTTAAAAATTGAATGAGATATTTCCACAATTTATTATACACACAAAAAAATCGTTGGGCTGTTTGTTAAGGGGGGGTGGCAGGTGATTTCTAGCCACCCCCCCCGCTGTTTTCTAAACTTTCTAGAATGTGGTTAGTAGTTTAGATGTCAATTTATGTTCTAAATCTCCCAGTGTGTACATGTATATGTGTGTGTGTAGGTGTGTGTGTTTATGTGTACTGTATGTGGTATGTGTATTGTGTGTGTTGGTGTGTATCTCTGTTCATGTATATTGTGTGTTGTATGTAGTATGTGTTATGTGTGTTGTGTGTAGTGTACGTGGTGTTTGGTGTGTGTAGTGTGTGTGGTGTGTGTGTAGTGTGTGTGGTTGTAGTGTGTGTTGTGTGTGTAGCATGTGTGCTGTGTGTACTGTGTGTGTTTGTGTGTGATATGTGTGTGCTGTGTGTGGTGTGTGGTGTGTGTGTAGTGTATGTGGTGTATGTTGTGTGTGAGCTGTGTGTGATGTGTGTAGAGTGTGGTGTGTGTGTAGTGTGTTGTGTGTGTGGTTTGTGTGATGTGTTGTGTGTAGTGTGTGTGGTATGTGTGCTGTGTTGTGTGTGAGCTGTGTGTGATGTGCATAATGTGTGGTGTGTGTGGTGTGTGGTGTAGTGTGTGGTGTGTGTGGTGTGTGTAGTGTGCATTTGTGTGGTGTGTGTGGTGTGTGTAGTGTGCATTTGTGTGTGGTGTGTGTGGTGTGTGTAGTGTGTGTGGTGTGTGGTGTAATGTGTTTGGTGTGTGTAGTGTGCATTGTGTGGTGTGTGTAGTGTGTACGTGGTGTGTGGTGGGTGTAGTGTGTGTGTGGTGTGTGTAGTATGTGTTGTGTGTGTTGTGTGGTGTAGTGTGTGGTGTGTGTGGTGTGTTGTGTGTGTGGTGGGTGTAGTGTGTGTGGTGTGTAGTGTAGTGTGTGTGGTGTGTGTGTGGCATGTGTGGTGTTTGGTGTGTGTGGTGTGTGTAGTGTTTTTATGTAGTGTGTGGTGTGTGTCGTGTGTGTGGTGTGTGTCGTGTGTGTAGTGTGTGTGTGGTGTTTGGTTGTGTAGTGTGTGTGGTGTGTGTACTGTGTGTGGCGTGTTTGGCGTGTGTGTTTGTGTGTGGTATGTGTAGTGTGTGTGGTGTGTGCGGTAATGTGTGGTGTTTCTGTGGTGTGTGTAGTGTGTGTTTGTGGTATGTGTAGTGTGTGGTGTGTGGTGTAGTGTGTGGTGTGTGTGGTGTTTGGTTGTGTGGTGTGTGTAGTGTGCGTTTGTGTGTGGTGTGTGTAGTGTGTGTGGTGTGTGTACTGTGTGTGGTGTGTGTAATGTGTTGTGTGTGTGTAGTGTGTGTGATGTGTGGGTGTGTGTGTAGTGTGTGTGGTGTATGTGGTATGGTGTGTGTGCTGTGTGTGGTGTGTGTAGAGTGTGTTGTGTGTGTAGTGTGTGTTGTGTATGGTTTGTGTGATGTGTGTGTAGGGTGGTGTGTGTTGTAAGTGTGGTGTGTGTAGTGTGTGTGTGTGGTGTGTGTAATGTGCGTTTATGTGTGGTGTGTGTAGTGTGTGGTGTGTGTAGTGTGTGATGTGTGTAGTGTATGTAGTGTGTGGTGTGTGTAGTGTGTGGTGTGTAGTGTGTGGTGTGTGTGGCATATGTGTCTTGTGGTGTTTGGTTGTGTGGTGTGTGTGGTGTCTGGTGTAGTGTGTGGTTTGTGTGGCATGTGTGGCATGTGTGGTGTTTGGTTGTGTGGTGTGTGTAGTGTGTGGTGTGTGTGGGTGCGTGTGGTGTGTGTAGTGTGTGTGGTGTATGTGGTATGGTGTGTGTGCTGTGTGTGGTGTGTGTAGAGTGTGTGTGTGTAGTGCGTGTTGTGTATGGTTTGTGTGATGTGTGTGTTTGGTGTGTGTGGTGTGGTGTGTGTAGTGTGTCTGGTGTGTGTAGTGTATGGTGTGTGTAGTGTGTGTGGTATGTGTAGTGTGTGTAGTGTGTGGTGTGTGTGGCTTGTAGTGTGTGGTGTGTGTGGCGTGTGTGGCATGTGTGGTGTTTGTGTGGTGTGTGTGGTGTGTGTAGTGTGTGTGTGGTATGTGTAGTGTGTGTGGTGTGTGTGGTGTGTGGTGTGTGGTGTCCTGTGTGTGTGTGGCGCCCCTGCCTTCTCACTCCAGGGCAGTGGGTGTCACTCAGGCCCCTTGCTGGTCCCCCTGCTGGTCCCCCTGCTGGGCTCCAAAGCCGAAGAACCCGGGCTGAGCTGCGCGGGATGCTGAGCTGCGCGGGATGCTGAGCTGCGGGGGGATGCTGAGCTGCGGGGGATGCTGAGCTGCGGGGGATGCTGAGCTGCGGGGGATGCTGAGCTGCGGGGGATGCTGAGCTGCGGGGGATGCTGAGCTGCGGGGGATGAGCAGCGTGAGTGAGCGGTCCCCCAGGGAGGGATGCTCCGAGGGCGAGTGCAGGAGGTCCCTTGCATTCCTCCTTCGGAATGGCCTCCCCAGCCCCAGCAGGACTGCGGGTTGGAGGGGAGAGCAAGGGGCCTCTTGGACAGTGGAAGCGCTTTCAGCAACAGAATGGCTGGACAGAGGCTGCGTCCCCCCACCAGCTGCCGGTCCTGGGATCCCTGCCCGCCTGGGCAGCGCTGGGGCAGAGCCACACGGAGCCTTGGGCCAGGAACAACCCCTTGCCGGTGGGGCCTGTGGGACTGCAGGGCCTGGGGTCTGGGAGGCGGCCTTGTCCCTGCCGCTGCAGCCACGAGCTGAGGTCTGTGTTGGGAGGGTGAGCCCCAGCTGAGGTCTGTGGGGGGAGGGTGAGCCCCAGCACCTGCGAACGGCCACCGTTCTCTGCTCGGCTCCTTTTCCTGCCCGTCTCTTTCTCCCTCTGAGCAAGGACCACCATCCCGTCAGCCGACCGGTCCTCTGGCCCCACCGGGCCTTGGCGTTTGCTCCTCCCTCGCCGGGAGCTGCTGCCTCTGCTCCTCCAGGCCCAGGCAGTGCATCCGTTCTGGCAGGAGACTGTGGTGGGACTCACCTGAGCTGCAAGTTCTGCTTCCCAAGGGAGGGCTGTCCCCGGCCTGCCAGCTGCCCTCCCCAGAAGCTGAGCTCAGGAAGACGGGTACCAGCGTGTGAGGAAGGGGCCCCAGAAGGAGCGCGTGTCTGCGGGGAGAGGGAGCGCTAAGCCACCACACCAGGTGGGCAGCAGTGCTGAAGGGGCACCCGGCTTCCCCTGATCGTTTCTTTTCCCTGTGGCCCAATCTCCCACCCCCATCTCACCCTGTCCTGGAGCCAGCCTTCGGGGAGGCTGGGCAGGGAGCGGGGTCAGAAGGCGTCTGCCCCAGGCCTGGGTCCTAGGGCCTGTCCTTGGAGGGACCACACATGCCTGGAGAGAGGCTCCAGTGGCCGGCTCCAGGTGGGCGCTGATGCAGAAGGCCCAAGGAGGACCCTGCCACATGTTGCAGGGACCCGTGGGTGCTGTGCACAACCTGCCTCATCCATCCCCGCCGAAGAAGAGGGGGTGCTCATGGCTGGCTGATTTGTGAGGGGGCCACGTAAGCAGCTCTTGCAGGGCGTGGCTTGTGGGTTTGGGAGACAGACAAATGGGCAGTCAGACAGAGGCGTGGACAGGATGCCCTCTCTGCTGTCTGCCGCCCAGGCCTCTGGAGGTGTTCTGGGATGGGTCTAAGGAAAACTCAACAATTCTTGAGCGAATAATGCCCGGGCAACCAGCTCCCTGCATTTCATAAGGGCCGGAATTGCCATCCAAAAGGTTATTTTGGGTGACTGTGGTCAGTCATCATTCCAAAGCTTTTCCCTAAACTCAGAGCCAGGTGTGGCCTCCAGGGCTGAGGAGCCTGAGAGGTGGGACTGGCAGGCAGGGCTGTGGCCCCAGCGTGGCACGGAAGCAGCCAGGAAACACTGGCTCTGGGGGGCTGTGGTGGGAGGAGGTCCTCTGCAGGGACCCCTGTGGACCGAGGCTTTTGGAGGCAAGTGGACAGTAGGTGTCTCTTAGACCCCTGCGGGGGCACACGACCAGGACCACAAGGGGCCCACACACGCACAGTGGCCCGGAGCCAACCAGCAAACCCCAGGACCTTAGATACAGCCCGGCGAGTGAGTTAGGATTGCTCCGGCTAGCTGTGTGATCATCCACAGTGCCAGAGAACAGTGCCTCGAGACCACAGTGGCAGCTGGCTTACTTCTCGTGTGAACAGGAAACCCAGAGGTGGGCGACCCTCCAGTGGTGTGACGACTCCATCTGTCACCACAGCCCCGGGCTCCCGCCTTCCTGCTCCTTGGGCTCACAGCTCTGTGCTTGAGGCAGGTCTAAGACAGGCTGGAGTGCGGCCATCATCCCAGCACTGATGGATAGAAGAAAATGAAGCTGGGATGAGAAACGCGGGGCTTTCCCTGGCAGTCTGGCCCTGTATGGAGGCCCCTTCCCAGAGTGCGTCCCACTGGCTTCCTCTTCTATCTTGCAGTCACACCTAGCTGCAAGGCGGGAAGATGTCACAGGTTTGAAAGGGCCGAAAAGAAGGTTCAGAAATGAAAACTATGACAAGGCGCTTGCCAGCATTAGCTGCAGAGTCGACAGAGACGAGGAGATAATGTGTGAAGTGGTAGAAAAATGAGAAGAGATTGTTCAGTGTGCAGGGCAGAGAGATGGCGAGATGGGAGCTGTGAGGAGAGCCGGGTGGCCGGGAGCCTCCCGGGGGCAGATCTGTGCTGAGGTTTTGCAGGGATCAGCTGGCTGTCTCCGCCCCTGCACGTCCCGGCTCCTTCTCAGCTCACCCTTTCTTGTTGTGCCATGACAGGTGGCTGCCACGCACAGCAATGCTGTTGAATCTCAGAAATTAAACAACCTGAAAAGGCGTGAGAAGCTGGGCACATGCATGAATTGTTTATGTAAAGCTCAGAAGCTGCACAGCTAAAGGGCTCGGTGAGGGAGGCATCATAGGTGTTGAAGCCTCAACGTTGTCTGTGCAGGCACGGCCAGGCTGGTGGCACCTCTGCCAGGAGGGCAGGGGGTGGGGGTGGGGCCGCGGGCTGAGATCGGGAGGGAACAGGCAGCCAGCTCTGGAGGCTGGCAGAGCGAGGTTTTGTTTCTTCCTATAGGACGTGGTGACTTAAGACTTTAGAATAATTTGTGAAGCTCTGCATTTATGTTTTAGGCATTTTATGTAAATATTTTATATTTCTCACTAGTAAAAAGTTTAAGAGAATACACCCACGGGACAATCTGCAATGATACACGTTCTATAAAGTTCTTCTCAGCTTTGTTTGTGTGAAAAGCATTAGTGCTGTTTGCAGAGAGAAGCTGAGTGAATAAGTTACATGATAGCCACAAGCTGGAAAAATACCAAGTGTTCAGCAAGGGATGAGTGTGGGCCACCGCTCCTGATGTGCACTAGAAAGAGAGGGCTGTGGATGATTCCTTGGTGCGATGTGTGAAAACACCCGGGCCTCTACACGCACGGGTCTGGGGAGGCCCCTGCGTGTCCACGGGCCCACGCCCACCACCACCACCACGGTGCTGCCACAGGGATGCTCTCTGGGGGGCGGGGTCATGGGAGATTGCATTGTATTGTATTTTTCCTTTCTGCTTCCCATTTCTCGGAGACAAATCTGGTTGCCATGGAGACCATGCTGTTGTCAAGGTGGCTGATTGGCCGGCGCGGGATGCGGGGACGTTTCCTTGGGCCCCCGGCGGGCGCAGCCCTCAGCCCACACTGCGGAGCCAGGCGGCAGCATGGACCGGGCTGGGGCAGACATGTGGGCCAGCACCTTCACCCTGGCCATGGCCGAGAGGAAGCCCCAGGACGTCTGGGTTCTGCTACCTGAGCACAGCCTGGTCCCGGGATGCCTGGACGGCGGTGGTGTCCAGTACCTGCTGGTGGGGCTCTCGAGGTGCGGCCAGAGGTTGGGGACCCTGGGAGAGGCAGGGGGCTGAAGGTGCTTTTCCACGGGACCTTGGGTGGTCCCAGAGGCTGGGTGGGGCTGTTGGGCCTCGTCTTGTCCCCGAGACGGGAGGGTGGGGCTGGGTGCTCCTTCTCCCGCCGGAGCCCCTGCCTCGCCATGCTGGGCACACGGCTGCTGACGCAGGGGTCCCGGGGAAGACATGGCGGGTGCCTCATGGAGAGTTTGGTTTCCCTCACTCGGCTCCTTGGGCCAGCGCTGCCCTTGGACACAGGCTCATCTCCTGCTTCCATGGCACTGCCGTGGTCTCGCAGCCATCAGTGCTGACAGGTGGGCCCTGGGGCGTGCCGGAGCCTGTGGTCACCATCCGGCCCTGTGTTGCACACAGCGGGGTGCTCGGCCCTGATCGGGGGCCCGGGGTGGCTGTGGGTCACAAGTGAGCCTCACAGGCCGTCATCACGGTTGTGGTGCCGTCAGCGCAGCAGGGCGGGCGCCATGCGCTTCTCCAACTGGCAAGGCATCCACAGCTCGGCCGGGTGCCAGCTGGGAGGGGCGCGGGGCAGCTCCACATCCTCGCAGATGCCCGGCCTGACAGGCCCCCAGGCTGCTGGCTGGTCCGTCCCTCTGTGGAGACACCCTGGGCAAAGGGGGAGTCGTCCTGCCCTTTGACACAGCTCCTCAGTGCCTGAGACCCCTGGGGCCAGGTGTGTGCAGAATCCCAGCTTTTTCAGAAGCTGGGAAAGTAATAACCCGTGTTGGGGTCTGAGAAGTGCTGGGAAGCACATCACTGTTCCCACAGCCAGGTGGAGATGGCTCTGAGCGGCTCCCAGCTGGCGGGAGAGAACTGAGGACGGCTGCCCCAACATGCAGCCCCAGCGCCCGTGGCTTTGGCTCCTCAGTCCCATTTAAATAAAGTCAGCAGTTCAGTTCCTCCAGCACGAACGTGTCCACGGGCTCTGTGGCCAGTGTGGTTGGAGGCTGCAGGCAGGGCAGTGTGGCTATAGAACATTCTGTCATCCAGAAACTTCCACTGCCTGGAACTGAATCATAGCCTCTCACTCATGCAGGGTTCCCTGAAGCTCACAGCTGCTTGTGTGGCTAGCAAATGGTCACCGGTCTGATGACCGCCATGGACAAGCCAATCCCTCCCAGTGCTCTCCCCAAACCTCTCCTCGCCTGGTGACGCCCAGCAGGGCTGCCCGGGCCATGACCGCAGGCCTCCGTGACATCCTTCCCCTCAGCTGGCAGGCGACCTCCTGGATCGCCTCCTCTCAGTCAGGACAGGGACCCCCACTTGCTGAGCCCCCAGGGACAGCCCCCACATGCATGCTTTTCCCCTCCTAAGTGTGTCGGCAGGCCTGCCTCTTCCTGTGTTAACCCCAACTCACAAAACACCAGCAGAGCCACGCAGGTGGCAGGCTGCCGACGCCTCACGGAGGCCAGGCTGGAGCGGGTTTTGTTGAAAAACTGCTGAGAGGAGGTTTGCTTTGCTTCTCAGTGCTCCACATGAGGGGGCTGCGGGCTAGTGCGCATGGGCCTGCTTTTGCCTGTGTGTGGCCGAGGGGCTGGTGGTTTCAGAGCCTCGGCACAGGCAGGAGCAGGTGCTAGGCTGCCTTGGCCGCGGCCCTGGGTGGCTGGGGGGTGAGGTTTGAGGTTTGAGTGTGGGATGTGAGGCAGGGGGCAGCGAGGCGCTGGGGTCGGATGGGCAAGGAGGCCGCAGAGCAGAGTGCGAGGGCTGGGCGTGGGGCCTCTTTCTCCTGCACTCACACACACTTCTTTCCCCGCCGCAGGCTCCAGTGCGGTCACTGTCCGGGGACCTGGGACTCGGCCCATGTGCACGTCCTCTTCCACCTGTGGTGGGACAGGGCCAGCCACCGGGGGCTGGTGAAGATGCGCATCTGGGGCCAGCGGTGCAGGCTGTGCCCCGCACCCGGGGACTGCCAGGTGAGGCCCCCGGGCGAGCAGCCCTTCCTCAGCAGGCTGGTCTTGCACATCCTGCAGGACTGCTACGGGGATGGCCCCGGCCCAGCCCGGCACCCCAGGGAGGCCTATGAGGGCTGCTGTGAGGCCTGTGAGCTGGGGGTCTGCTTCCTCCAGAAGGCCCCAGACCCCGCCTGGAGCGCCAACGCCACAAAAGGCAACTTCCCCGCCACGGCCTGGGGTGGCACTGGCACCGTCTCCAGGGGCAAACCGCTGTCCACCCCTGGCGACGACCTTGGCAAGGGTGGCGTTGTCATCGCCATCCCCTTCTCCCTTGTGGGTACCAGCAATGACCAGGTGCCCATCGCTGAGGGCCCTGCCCCCCCTGCGGGGGCCTCTCTCCCTGTGACTGGCAGCTGTGAGGCCCTGGTCATCGGCCAGGGCTCCATCTTCCTGTCTGGGGATTCAGTGGCCATGCCTGGGGGCAAAGGCTTCCCGGTGGCCATTGGAGACCCCCTCTTCCACGGCCCCGGCCTCCTCGGCAGCAGCATCCAGACCTTCGAGCTCAAGGGCTTCCTCTTCAAAGGCCGGGGCTCCCTCTGCAGCCCGGTTGGCGTGGCCCAGGGCTGGGGCCCCATCTCCCTCAACAATGGCCTCGTCCCTGTGGGGAAACACACGCCAACCGTGTTCTACTGTGTGGGCCTCTCGGCCAGCGGGGAGGGCTCCCTCACCTTCCCCTCCTCCCTCACCAGCATCTTCACCAACACCCTCTCGGAGCCCACCGATGGCCCTGTGGCCACTAAAGAGGCCTCCATCACCTTCCCCTTCATCTTTACTGATGTCAAGGATGCCGTTGCTGAGGTGGCTGAAGGCAACGGGAAGGAAGGAGGCGGCCAGGGCCTCGTCCCAGTGGGTCACGACGCCCTGCCAGAGACCAATGCTGGTGGCCTCCCCTCCCAGGTCAAGGGCTCCCTTGCCCTCCCCTTCCCTGCTGATGTCCAAGGCAAAGATGCCTTTACTGACATCACTGAAGGCAAAGAGAAGGAAGGTGGCCTGGTCACCGCGGGTCACGACGCCCCTCTGGAGGCCAATGCCGAGGGCCCCATCACGGTTAGTGAGGGCTGCATCACCATCCCCTTCGCAGTCTTCGATGTCATAAAGCGCAAGGGCGGTGGCCACGTTGCCTACGGCCCCCAGGGCAATGGCTGCTTCTCCCAAGGCTATTACCAGAAGAGGCAGCTGAGGTCCAGGTTCCACAAGGCCCGCTGTGGGTGCCGCCGGGAGGAAGACGAGCGCCCTGGCCGTGCCTGCCGTAGGCCGCACGCCGAGCCCTACGAGGACTTCTGGATCTGGGTGTCCATGACCGTGTGCGTCTTCTGGCTGATGTGCATGTGTCGGCTGAACCCCGGGATCTACCCGCAGCAAGTGTGACGCCCCGAAGTTCAGGCAACCCTCGCCTCTGGGACCCCGCCTCGCCTCTGAGACACCCCCCAACCCCGCCTTTGAGATGCCCGCCCCGCCTCCGAGACCCCGCCTCCACCTCCGAGACCCCTTTCTCTGAGACCCCCGCCTCTGAGGCCCCGCCCCCCGCCTCCGAGACCCCGCCCTGCCTCTGAGACCCCGCCTCACCTCTGAGACACCCCCCAACCCCACCTTTGAGATGCCCGCCCCGCCTCCGTGGCCCCGCCTCCACCTCCGAGACCCCGCCTCCACCTCCGAGACCCCTTTCTCTGAGACCCCTGCCTCTGAAGCCCCGCCCCCCGCCTCCGAGACCCCGCTTCACCTCCGAGGCCCCGCCCCCCGCCTCCGAGACCCCGCCCCCCGCCTCCGAGACCCCGCCTCACCTCTGAGACCCCGCCCCCGCCAGCAGCTCAGCCCCTCCTGTCTCTTGCCCCTGGTTTTGTGGGTCTGCCCTGAGCTGTGCCTGTGTGCTCCAGCCTCTTCCTATGTGTGTAACTTCAATAAAACCAAGCAAAGCCAGCCACGCAGCCCTCCACCTAGGGGAGGTTTCCAGGTGAGAGAAACCTGGGCCGGTCCTTCTGTCCCTCCACCCTGCAGGGGCCCCTCACGCCCACCGCTTCTTCCCCTGGGGAGAGCTCCCTCTTGGGGATTCCGAATTCCTGGCCATGTGTGGCTCCTGGGATAGGAGAGGAAGCTTTGGCTCCGGCTCCGTGTCAGGTGCAAATTAACCTCCCTCCTGTGTGGACCCAGGGGTCTTGTGGAAGAGGCCACTTACCTCTCTCCAGGAAAGACTCAAGCCCCCACTGAGACTGGCTTGTCACGCCCTCCCTCTTCCCTCCAGCCTCAGTGTAGCCTCTGGAGGGATCTTGGCACCTCTCATCCAGAGGGTGGGAGGCCACGGTGGGGCTCTGAGCTTGTCTGGGTTTGAGAAATTCTATCCATTGCAGATGACAGAAAACTCTCCTGTTACTCAAAGCCACACACTGGATTTTCATTTTAAAAGAGTCCAGTTTCCATTTCCTAGGGGCGGGGGTGTTGGGATTCCCGGCTGTCCCAGCCAGGTGGGGGCCTGACAGTGGCAGTGTCTGGGTCCGACTGTCCGGCCTCTCAGGCAGGGTCAGCCCTGAGGGTCCTGGAAGGTTGGGAACTGCCTGGGGAGACCCTGGGGTCTGTGACTGGGGAAGCCCTGCCCTGTAGAAAGGGGAAACCGCGTCCAGGGCCCCTGGTGGGGAGGGGGGCCAGCCCAGAGATTCTGCCTGCCAGGCTGGCCTGGACCCCTGGGGTGTGCGGGGGAGAAGTGGCAGGGGGGGCGTTCTCCCACACAGCTGTGGTGGGCTCGGATGCAGGTGGTGCGGGGGCTTCAAGGGGAAGCAGCAGAACCTCTTGTCCCAACCCGGCACCCTCTGCTTACCGGGCACCGATGGAGACCCCAGCGGCCCCAGGAGGCTCCACCCTGCACAGAGGCTGGAGACAGCAGCCAGCCTGCGGGTGACACGGATGAGGGTCCAGGAGAAACCCCAATCCAGGTCTCAGGGCCCAATTGCAGGGACAGGGGTCCCAGGAGAAACCCCAATCCAGGGCCTCGGGGGCCAACTGCAGGGACAGGGGTCCCAGGAGAAACCCCAATCCAGGTCTCAGGGGCCGAAATGCAGGGACGGGGGTCCCAGGAGAAACCCCAATCCAGGTCTCAGGGCCCAACTGCAGGGACGAGGGTCCCAGGGGAAACCCCAATCCAGGGCCTCGGGGGCCAACTGCAGGGACAAAGGTCCAGGAAAAACCAGAATCCAGGCCTCGGGGGCCCAACTGCAGGGATGAGGGTCCAGGAGAAACCAGAATCCAGGCCTCGGGGGCCCAACTGCAGGGATGAGGGTCCAGGAGAAACCAGAATCCAGGCCTCGGGGGCCCAACTGCAGGGATGAGGGTCCAGGAGAAACCAGAATCCAGGCCTCGGGGGCCCAACTGCAGGGACGAGGGTCCCAGGGGTGCAGGTACCAGCCCCACAGGGTCGGTGGGCTTCTCCCTGTGTGTGGCGACGAGAAAGTGTAGAAATAAAGACACAAGACAAAGAGATAAAAGAAAAGAGAGCTGGGCCCTGCGGACCACTACCACCAATGCGCGGAGACCGGTCGTGGCCCCGAATGAATGTCTGGCTGCGCTGTTATTTATTGGATACAAGGCAAAAGGGGCAGGGTAAAGAGTGTGAGTCATCTCCAATGATAGGTAAGGTCATGTGGGTCACGTGTCCACTGGACAGGGGGCCCTTCCCTGCCTGGCAGCCGAGGCAGAGAGAGGAGACAAAGAGAAAGACAGCTCACGCCATTATTTCTGCATATCAGAGACTTTTAGTACTTTCCCCAATTTGACTACTGCTATCTAGAAGGCAGAGTCAGGTGTACAGGATGGAACATGAAGGCGGACTAGGAGCGTGACCACTGAAGCACAGCATCACAGGGAGACGGTCAGGCCTCCGGATAACTGTGGGCGAGCCTGACTGATGTCAGGTCCTCCACTAGAGGTGGAGGAGCAGAGTCTTCTCTAAACTCCCCCGGGGAAAGGGAGACTCCCTTTTCTGGTCTGCTAAGTAGCGGGTGTTGTTCCTTGACACTTTTCGCTACCGCTAGACCACGGTCCGCTTGGCAACTGGTGTCTTCCCAGACGCTGGCGTTACCGCTAGACCAAGGAGCCCTCTGGTGGCCCTGTCCGGGCATAACAGAAGGCTCGCACTCTTCTGGTCACTCCTCACTATGTCCCCTCAGCTCCTATCTCTGTATGGCCTGGTTTTTCCTAGGTTATGATTGTAGAGCGAGGATTATTATAATATTGGAATAAAGAGTAATTACTAGCAACTAATGATTAATGATATTCATATATAATCATATCTAAGATCTATATCTGGTATAACTATTCTTGTTTTATATTTTATTATACTGGAACAGCTCGTGTCCTCGGTGTCTTGCCTCGGTGCCTGGGTGGCTTGCTGCCCACACAGGGGAAACCTGAATCCAGGTCTCAGGGGCCAACTGCAGGGACGAGGGTCCCAGGAGAAACCCCAATCCAGGGCCTCAGGGGCCCAACTGCAGGGACGAGGATCCCAGGGGAAACCCCAATCCAGGTCTCAGGGGCCCAATGGCAGGGACGAGAATCCCAGGAGAAACCTCAGTCCAGGTCTCAGGGGCCCAACTGCAGGGACGAGGGTCCCAGGGGAAACCCCAATCCAGGTCTCGGGCCCAACGGCAGGGACGAGGATCCCAGGAGAAACCTCAATCCAGGTCTCAGGGGCCCAACTGCAGGGACGAGGGTCCCAGGAGAAACTGGAATCCAGGGTCCCAGGGGCCGAAATGCAGGGACGGGGGTCCCAGGAGAAACCCCAATCCAGGGCCTCAGGGGCCAACTGCAGGGACGAGGGTCCCAGGAGAAACTGGAGTCCAGGGCCCCGGGGGCGCAACTGCAGGGTGGCAGGAGCCCCACACGCCGACTCAGAGGGCCCAAGCCTGCCTCGTCCTGGGATGGGTTTGGGGAATCTGCTTTCCTCTAGTGGGGCAGGGGCTCTGGGGGCCTCCTGGGTGGGCAGCCTGGCCGCCTCGGGCTGACAGCAGGTGCCCCTCCCCACCCCTTCTGCCCAGCACTATGGGGCGGTGGTCTCAGGCGCTGTGGGTGGGGGAATCACAGGAACACCTGAGGCCCCAGGCAGGGGGCACAAGGCCCTGACCTTGCCCTTCTCCCATCGCCTGCCAGGCCACCTCTGGCTGGGAGCTTGCTGGGGCCCAGAGGGTGGGTGAGTTCTGGGGCCCAGGGCAGGGAGGTCGCAGGGAGGCTCTGTGTTCTGGATCCACGCCCCTGCCCTCAGTGCCACCCACCCCAGGAGCCTGTGCACAGGTGTCCCTATATGAGCACAAGAGGGGCCACCCTGCAGTGACCTCGCTTGGTCGCATGGCTACTAAAATGTGGCCACCGAAGAGGAAGAAGGGAAGGCTGGCACCGTCGCTACAACCCACCCAGCTCAGACTTCAGGATGGCTCCCAGCCCACCCCTGCCATCGGGCAGCTCCCAGCATCTGACCCTGTCAGGACACAGGACACGACTGTCACCTGGGACCCCCTTCCCTGCAGGCCGTGGGGGCAGCCTCAGGAACGGTGGGAGACCCCCACCTCTCCCAAGGGGCTTCCTTTTGTCTGCCTCAGGGCTGCCCAGACACTCCTGCCCTCGGGGTCCTTCCGCACCCTGCCAGGGGGCCCTGAAGTTTGCAGGTTCCCGCCCACCCTGGAAGAACACCCTCAGGGCTTCCAAAGGCACCCGGGATCCCCCAGCTCCCCGGCCACCGCTCAGCTCCCTGGCCACCGCTCAGCTCCCTGGCCTGCTTGACCTCAACTGCCCCCTACCCCCCTCCCCGACCTCCCCAGGGCCCCTACCCCGCCCTTCGCCCCCCACCCCCCATGCTCCTCACTCCCCACCCCCTTCCCACCCCCTTCCTGGTCCTTCTTTCCTACCCCTCCCCCGACCCTCCTTTCTCGGTCCTCCCAGCCCCCTCCCCGTCCCTCTCCCCTCCTCGTGTACCTGTCCAGCGCCCCTCTTTCTCTCTTCCCCTCCCCTCCCCTTCCTCTTTCCCCCTTCCCCCTTCCGGCCCCCCCAACCTGTCCCTCTCTCTGCTCCCCTCCCTCTCCTGGCCGCCCCCCAACCCCATCCCTCTCCTCGCTCCCCTCCCTCTCCCGGCCCCCCCACCCCCATCCCTCTCCTCCCTCCCCTCCCTCTCCTGGCCGCCCCCCCCACCCCTTCCCTCTCTCCTCGCTCCCCTCCCTCTCCCGGCCCCCCCACCCCATCCCTCTCCTCGCTCCCCTCCCTCTCCCGGCCCACTCCGCGCTGTCCTGCGGCGCCCCCGTGTGGCCGCTGTGGGGGAAGAGCAGACCTTGTTGTCGAGGGAGGCCTGGGAGGGCGTGGATCTCTGGGGCCGCTCCCTTGCCCTCATTGCTGTTGAACTGCTTCTCGGCTTAATCAGATGAGTTGTTAAAACTACCCATCATCAGCATTGTTACCATTGGTTTCATTAGTAATTGTATTTATTTAATTAATTGTTACATTCACTAGTAAAAATGGGAGCTAAGGCAATGCGTGCACTCACCGCTGTGAAGGCAAATGCGGTACTGTGAGTGCTGAATGCACCGCCATGGTCGCGGGAAAGCCCAGGCACAGACACTAGCTCAAAAGCCAAGGGTAGGCCTGGGGTTCACATGCCAAGCAGCAAGCTGAACTCTCACCCTGAGCCCACACCTGAGCCCTCATCTGAGGCTGCACCTGAGCCCACACCTGAGCTCTCATCTGAGGCTGCACCTGAGCCCACACCTGAGCCCTCATCTGAGGTTGCACCTGAGCCCTCCCCTGAGCTCTCGTCTGAGGCTGCACCTGAGCCCACACCTGAGCTCTCGTCTGAGGCTGCACCTGATCCCACACCTGAGCTCTCGTCTGAGGCTGCACCTGAGCCCACACCTGAGCTCTCATCTGAGGTTGCACCTGGGCCCACACTGGAACTTTAACCTGAGCTTACACCTGAGGCTGCACCTAAGCCCTCACCCGAGACTACACCTGAGGCTGCACCTGGGCCCACACCTGAATCCACACTGGAACTTTAACCTGAGCCTACATCTGAGCTCTTGCCTGAGTCTCCTATATGGTTGGAGTGGCCAGGTTGGGCCTAATTAAATATGAGGTAGCAGTAACGACTTTAGGCAACTGAGTTATTAGTAGAGATATTTAATATCAAAGTCAAAGAAGATGAAGGGCAGACACATTTTTAATGTAATTGCTATTAGTTCAGCCAAAGTTGAGGGGACTCAAAGTGTGAATACTTTTCTGACTTAAGGTACATTTCCTAGTGATGGGGGTCAGCTCATCCAGGGTCACATGTGGTTCCTGCTGAAACCAAGTCTGGGGTTCCCTGGGAGGGTCTGGCGAGAACTCTGACAGCAGCTCCCATCACCCTGTGGTGGATAAAGCGAATGCCTCTCTAAGTGTCTGGGGGTGGGGTAGGGTCTGTGCTGATTTATGTAGCTACCTGTTGCAGGGTTGGGTTAGGATCAGGTTGGTTACCCTGGACCCTGGGTATTCAGGTGGACAGGCGGGCCTTGGCCTTGGACAATGGCTAGCTAGGGTGGGCTAGAGCTGCTTCACCCGCAGCTTTGGCGAGGGGAGCGGGAGGCCAGGGAAGTCCCCAGGAGGAGTGGCCACGCTGTGATCCGGGCCCCGGGCTGGCTGGTAGGTGGAGGGTCACACCACCTGGGCCTCAGTGAGGTCCTAGCTGGAGCAGAGGTTCGGGGATCTCCTTCCCTTTCCTTCTGGGGCCTGGGACTTTGTACCTCTGTACAGGAGAGGCAGCAGAGGGCTGGGGTCCTGGCGATGCCTCCACTCTGCCTCCCAGCCTTTGGGGAATGTCTCCACCTGTTATGGCAAGTGTCCCTGTTTGCCTGGGACTTTGGGGGCTAAATTGGAGGCCTTTCTCTTTTTCCCCAAGTTCTCCAGCACACTTAGAAGCATCCGCCCACCCAGCTACACCCCTAAATTTTTCCCTTGATGCCCAGGGCCAGGCATCCTATGGCCATTTGATTACAGATGTCTGCAGGTGGCAATCTGAGTGCCTGTATGCTACTCCTGTGGGCAGCTAGCACCCTGGTACCCCTGGGAACAGAGCGTGAATGCCTTTAAAGCTAGTTGGAGCAGAGAACCAATTCCAGACACCCAGAGACATTTAGATAACTCATTACTAGGGTCCTGGCCCTGGGATCACTCCCAGGACTAGTTCTGTGTCTGTCCAGGTGTGATCCAGGAGTGCAGTGACGGATGTGGATGTGGGATTGGCACAGGACTTCCGCCAGCAGAAGAAAGGAAGGGAGGGGAGGGGAAGAGAGGGCAGGGGAGCAGAGCGGAGGAGAGAGGGGAGCAGTCTTTCCAGCTGGGGCTGGCCTAGGCTGCTGGGTCATTTGGGAAGAAAAGGTGATTTGGACTCAGGGAGACTGAGGGTGCCCTCGGGCCAGCATCTGAGGAGAGTGACAGGGGTTTCCTGGCTCCACAGCCCCAGGTGGCCTTGGTGGGTGCAGGCAGAAAATGACCTTTTCAAGTCCAGTTCCAACCCAGAGGGGGTTCCTAGACCCAGCGCCAATCAAGGGGCACCAGGGAGGCAGCAGAGGTTCCCGCAAATCCAGAGCAGAGTGGCTGCCAGACACCCCACATCCTCTTCGCAGCAGACTGAAGGCCACCCCACACTTGGAGGAGCCCGGGTGAAGCATCTGGGGAAGACCCTCAGCCCTGGGAGAGTCCCTCCAGGGGTGAGCAGGTGGGCTGCCCCTCAGGGTGCGGCTCATTTCGATGTAAGTTTTATAAAATAAGAAAAGGCGCCCTATAGCACCCCTTTGGGAGCCTCGTGTCACCTCCAAACATATACCTCGCTTCCAGGTCAGAAGTAGTGAAATGACCATTGCCAATGCAAATGGAACTGCCTTAGGACACATGGGGGAGGTTAGGGCCTGCTGTGGGGCCTTATGGTGGGCCCCGAGGGGCCCCGCACACCTGTGCTCACCTCCCAGGTCATCGCTGGGCCGCCTCTGTCCCCTGGGAGGCTCTGCCTCGGGGAGCCCTCTTCCCAAGCTCCCAGCAATGACTTCCAGGCCTCCCTCAGCATCAAGAGGAGCCACGTCTTCTTCTTGTGACCCAGCAGTATAATTCACCCTAAATAATGGCAGAATGGGTTGTGTGTAGTCTTTAAAAGTCAAAACAATTTTGCACACAACAGGAGTCATTCAGCAGTGGCTAACACTCTCCTGACCTGTGTCGGCGCTGGGCTCCAAGGTGTACCTCCGCACGCATGGGGTTAACTACGCCCCCATGACCATTCCCTGCAGGAGGGGCGGGACAGAGGACTGCGTTATGTTTCTCCTAAAAGAAAATCATGAAAGTCACACACTCCAGGTGCCACACTTATTATGGAGGGAGGGAAAGCAGATGAGCGGGCGGGAAAACTAGCGGGCTTGCCACGCCCAGGCAGCGCTGCTCGGGTTTCCGCTTCCTCCGCCCCTTCCTTTTTCTCTGTGCATCCTCAGTGACGCGGGGCACAGCTCTGCCCGGGGGCCTACCAGAGCCCACCTGGACCCCACACTGGGTCAGCCCTGGTGCGGAGGAGGCCGCTGTAGGTGGGCACGGGGCAGCACGCGTTAAGGGGCTGGACGGGGGGTGGCCATGCGTGTGAGGGCGCTGAGCAGGGGCGTGCCCATACGTGTGAGGGGGCTGGGTAGGGGCGTGGCCCAGCGTGTGTGTGTGTGTGTGTGTGTGTGTGTGTGTGTGTGTGTGTGTGTGGCTGGACAG
This sequence comes from Homo sapiens, assembly GCF_000001405.40. Lineage (NCBI taxonomy): Eukaryota > Metazoa > Chordata > Mammalia > Primates > Hominidae > Homo > Homo sapiens. The sequence goes on from NT_187527.1 coordinate 93,749, forward strand.
GGGTGTGGCCACGCGCGAGGGGGCCGTGCAGGGGGCGTGGCCACGAGCGAGGAGACTAAGGGGCGTGGTCACGCGTGTGAGGGGCTGGGCTAGAGGAGTGGCCCTGTGTGCGGGGGCTGGACGGGGGCGTGGTCATGTGCGAGGAGGCTGAACAGGGGGCGTGACCACGTGTGGAAGGGGGCTGATCGGAGGTGTGGCCACATGTAAGGGGGCTGGGCAGGGGGTGTGGCCACGTGTGAGGGGGGGCTGGGCCGGGGCGTGGCCACACGTGTGCTGGCTCTGCTGTGGGCTTCCTTCCCTTCCTGTGCAGGTGGTGGTGCCCTCTGCGCCTTCACTGGGGCCCAGCCAAGTAACTGAATCCAGCCAGGAGCAAGGGCAGACGCTGGCACAGGTCCTGCCACTGTCCCCAACCTGGGTTTCAACACAGCTGAGGCCTGGCATAGTCTTTCTGGGCGCCTCTGGCTGGCTCGGTCTGAAAGGTGGGACAGATGCAACTGGGGCCTCCCCGGGTGCAGCGTGGGTGGCTCCTGGCTGGGGAAGTGAGAAGCCCTCCGTGCGGTGTCTCTGAAGCAGCCCCAGGCCAAGGCTGTGGCGTGCTTGGTGGTGCTGTAGGCCCAAGATGTTTATGGGTCGAGGGTCCCCGGGGCCGGGATTCTGATCCCTGGTGAGAGGTGGCTGGGAGGAAGTCCAGACGTGTCCTGAGTGGCCATTCCTCACACTGAGGTGACACCGCCTCTCCAAACACGTGACGTGGCTGGAAGCAGATGCTGCTGTCCGGTTCTCCCTCCTCTCCGTCCCTGGCTGGGACATGTGGATCTCACCCGCAGCCACTTTCTTCTGGCCTCTGTCCCCCTGCCTGGGACACGTGGACCTCACCCCCAGTCTCCTTCTCTCCTCTGCCCCCCGCAGGCGCGGCCAGGTCACAGTCGGCACCAGAAGTTTGGCAGATCTCAGTGAGGCGTTAGTTTGCATTTCCTTGTGACGGGTGAGTTGAACACCCTTTCATGAGTGTATTGATCACTGTGTACCTTCTTTGTTGAAATGTCGTCAGTATTTAAAGTCACAAATCTTCCTCTAAGACTATGCTACAATTTTTGTGTAATATTTTGATGGATATTTGAAATAAGTGCTAATTTTCTTTGGATTTCTTCTTTGACCCATGCTTTATTTAGAAGAATCTCTTTATGTGTGTATTTATTTTTTAAACCCTCTATTCTGAGAAGCATATTTAGAAGAGTATTGCCCACTTTCCAAATATGTGGAGAGTCTAAAAGGAATCTTGCTATTACTGATTTAATTCCATTTTGATCAAGGAACAAACTGCAGGATCTCACTTTTTAAAATTACAGAGACTTATTCTTACTGTTTAACATAAGCCCTATCTTTGTAAATGCTCCGTATACACTCAAAAATTACTTGTGTTCTGCAGCTGTGGGGTGGGATGCTCGCCAAGAGTTAATGAGGTGCAGCTGGTTGACAGTGCTCTTTAAACCGGCGAATCCTTCCTGTCCCACCCGCTGTGCTTGCAGTCCCGAGAGAGCTGTTACATCTCCAACTAGGACAGTGAATTTCTCTATTCTTTCAGTTCCGTCCGTTTTTACTTCGTGTTTTTTGAAACTGTTATTATCTTTTTAGGCATTTAGGATTTTTCTGTGATCCTGACAGTGGCTGACCATGGTGTCATCATGGAATGTCCCTCTTTATCTTCAGGGGTGCTACCTGGTCTAATGTGAGTGTTCCAGGGCTATTTTCTTATGCACAGAATTGGCACTGTGTATCTTTTCCTTTTTCTATTCTTTTTTCTTTTTTTTTTCTTTTTCAGACAGAGTCTTGCTCCATTGCCCAAGCTGGAGTGCAGTGGCGCGATCTTGGCTCGCTGCAAGCTCCACCTCTCGGGTTCACGCCATTCTCCTGCCTTAGCCTCCCGAGTAGCTGGGACCACAGGCACCCGCCACCACGCCTGGCTAATTTTTTTGTATTTTTTTTAGTAGAGACGGGGTTTCACCGTGTTAGCCAGGATGGTCTTTATATCCTGACGTTGTGATCCTGCCCACCTTGGCCTCCCAAAGTGCTGGGATTACAGGCATGAGCCACCGTGCCTGGCCACTTTTTTCCTTTTTTTTTTTTTTTTTGAGACAGGGTCTCACTCTGTTGCCCGGGCTGGAGTGCAGTGGTGCCATCTTGGCTCACCACAGCCTCGACCTCCTGGGCTCAAGTGATCCTTCCACCTCAGCCTCCAGAGTAGCTGAGACCACAGGTGTGCACCACCACACCAGGCTAATTTTTTTTTTGTATTTTTCAAACTCCTTTTTTTTTTTTTTGAGATGGAGTTTCACTCTTGTTGCCCAGGCTGGAGTGCAGTGGCGCGATCTTGGCTCGCTGCAACCTCTGCCTCCTGGGTTCAGGCAATTCTCCTGCCTCAGCCTCTCCAGTAGCTGGGATTACAGGCACAAACCACCATGCCTGGCTAATTTTTTTCGTATTTTTAGTAGAGACAGGGTTTCACCGTGTTGGCCAGGCTGGTCTGGAACTCTTGACCTCAGGTGATCTGCCTGCCTCAGCCTCCCAAAGTGCTTGGATTACAGGTCAAACTCTAAGACTCAAGTGATCCTCACTCTTGTGCCTACCACAATGCTGGGACCACTCCTGGACCACTGTGGATCTTTTTCTATCCTTTAGACACCCAACCTGTCTTTGTATCTTACGTGGGTGTCTGTAGATGGAGTTGGGTCTTGGTGACAATCCCTGCTTTGCACATGGAGTTTCTCCATTTGCAATTCCAGTAATGATTGATGAGGTTGCTGTAGATCCCCCATCTTGCTACTTGTTTTCTAAGTGTCTTATCTTGTCATTTGTTTTTTATTTGTCATTTTTTTGTTCCTTTGTTCCTCCATTCCTGCCTTTTTTGGGTTAATTGAAATTTTTTAGTACTTCGTTTTACACCTCTGTTGGTCTTTTAGCTGTGCCTCTTGGTATTACCATTTTTAGTAGTTACCCTAAAGACAACAAAATGAATCCTTAATTTATCAGCCTATTCACCTCACACAAAATGTGGGAAACTTGTAACGGTGTAATTCCTCTAACCCTGTTCTTCCTGTTACAGTTGCCATATGTTTAACCTCTACCTACATTACAAACTCCGTAACACAATGCTACTTTTGCTTTAGACAATCTTTTGAATAAATTAAAGTTAACTTTTTAAGAAATTAACTGTCAGTTGGGTGTGGTGGCTCATGTTTGTGATGCCCAAATTTTAGGAGGCAGAGGCAGGAGGATTGCTTGAACTTAGGAGTTCGAGACTGCTTTCGGAAACACAGTGATACCTCGTCTATTAAAAAGAAAGCAAACTAGCCGAGCATGGTGGTGTGCACCTGTAGTTTCAGCTGCTCGGGAGGCTGAGGCAGGGGGATCCCTGGAGCCCAGGAGGTTGAGGCCGCTGTGAGCCATGGTCACTTTCCTCCCCATCTCCCCTGTCCGGCATCCACACAGCTCCTTCTCTGTTGTCCCAGGCCAACCCCAGCCCTGGTGCTATGCCCTCCTCTCACTGCGCCCTTGTTTCCCCGAGCTCTGCCTCCTATGGTGGCAGAGTGGGAGGGGGAGGGTGGGAAGCATGGCTCACAGTTGGCTCCATCACAGTGGCCCTGTATTTGTCCAGTTTCACAGCCATTTGCTGGAGGAACGCAGGTCCAGCACTGGCTACCCTGTCACGGCAGGGGTGACCTCTTACCAGCCTAGCAGCCCAGAGGCGCCCCAGGTGGGGAGGTGGCAGGTGGACACCGGGTCCCGTGTGTTGTGGCAGTGAAGCCTGCAGCCCACCAGAGCTCCAACAGCAGAGAAACAGGCTGTGAGTGTAAGCGTGGAATTGCTGTGAGCCATGGCGCCAGCAGCATGTGCTGCAGAGACAGCTAATCAATTAGCCCCTCCGTGCTGGGTGCTGTGTGTGCACCATTAAAGAGCTCACGGGGAGAGAAATGCAGACTCCTCTGGGGGCCCCAGGGTGGATTGCACCACTCAGCATGTTCTATTGAGTGCCTTTCCCTGCAGTGCGTGCTTTCTGAGGCTGTAATTTTGAGTGTGTCTTTCAAGGCTGCAGCCCTTAAGCAGTACAGCCTGGGTGTTCAGCTGGATAATCCTGTAAGTGAAGTTTGAGTGGTTTAACTGCCTACAGCAGGTGGGAGCTCGGGTGGTGGGGAGCATCTGGGGTTTCGAGGAGTCTGAGCCTCTGTGCAGGGCTGCAGGCTGTGGACGGGTTACGCGGGTGCTGGTCTTTAACGAGAGGACCTTCAGAGAGATGCAACAAAACCCCATGTGAGGCAGAAATGAAGCCTCCGAGTTGTATTGGAAGAGCTGCTGTCCGTGCAGCCACCACCCCCCTAAATACTCTGTGAGGGTCCTGGCTCCAGTCCATCTGTCTATCATCTTGGGAGCAGCCCATGCCAGCCACGTTGTCCTCCAGGCTTCTCTGCACAGACCTGGCTGCTGCGGGGTGCAGGGCATGTTGTTTGCACGTGTGCACTCCACCTCTCTTTCACATGCGCGTTCTCTGTAACACTCAGGACAACCCCGTGAACTAGAAGTCAGGTCCCTTGTTGAACTGGAGTTGGCCTGAGAAAGATCTTGGAGGATTAAGGCAGAGCTTTGCTCTGGGTCTGCCTCCAGGAAGGTGCCTGAGTCTCCACAGGGGCTGTGCCACAGAAGCCCCCCACAGCTTTTGGAACCCCAGAGCCCTTCACTGCACATTCGCCCTGTAGCCTCAGTCTCCAGGGACCTGGGAAAGCCCCAGCGTCAGCTTTTATGTTCTTCTGCATCACCGTGTCCTCTGCCTCGCTATGAATGAGTTTGTCAGGCCTCCTCCTTGGGGAGTGCGGTGGGGGCAGGTGGCAGACCTCGGGGCCAACAGAGAGTCATTAAGTAATCTCATAGTGAACGTGGCCTGGAGTCTTGTTTTTCAGATGGAAAAGGGAAAATTGGGCAAAGTTTGTAGGAGAAAAATACCAAGTTTTGTGGTGGTTGTGTTGATGGAGGGGGTTGAGCTGAATCTGAGAAGCAAGTACATTTGAGGCTTGGCTGCCACACTCACGGACACTGCAGAGAATGAGGAAAAATGGCTGGTTGTGTTTTCTTTCCACTGCACAAAAGAATAATTGCTTTTGTTTACAGATTTTCTGAAATGTCCTTCCAATTCCTTTGCCCCTGAATTATGAGCTGTGCCAGCTTGCGTGCAACAAATGGGTCTTATTGAGCACAAATACATGGGTGCAGAGCGTCTTTCGAAGAGGAGGCATCAGGGAGCCTCCTCCGGTCTCCACAGCCCCTGACAGGAGGCTGCTTCTCGGGATCCAGACCTGCCTGGGCTGCTTCAGTGGCCTCCCTGCCCTTCCCGGTGCGGCAGATCTGTGCCCACAGCAACGCATCCCCCGCACCTGCACCACCGCTCTTCCTGAGGCCCAGTGTTGATCTCTTTGTGGCCCCAGTGAGGACATTTTTGAGGCTTCATGATCTCTGTAGGATGCTGTCCAGGCCCATGCACACAGCAGGTGCATCCGTGAGGCACACCTCATATCTTAGCACTGCTGTGCTGTGATGCAAGTCCTCAGGGAGCTCGGCTCCACACTGTCACTCAGGGATCCAGCAGCCCCTTCCACCTGTGGCGCTGCCGTCCTCTGGTTTGGCGTCCTCTCCGTTCAGTACACGGCCGGGGAGGAAAGTGAGGAGGCTGTTGCGAGGGTCTTATGAGCCAGGGCCAGGAGTGGACTGCATCACCCCTGCCCAAGTTTCTTGGCTAGAACTAGCTGTTTGGCCAAGGCAAACCCCTGAAGTGAAGGATGCAGGCAGGGCCCACCTCTCTCTCTCTCTCTCTCTCTGCCATTTGCCCCTCACCCCCACCCACCAGACCACCCGCGCCCCCCAAGGAGGCTGCCTCAATGCCCTTCAGTAACCCACTTCTGTTGTGCAAATTCCTCTCCAACATTTCCTCTTCAGAGCGACTGCCCGAGAAAACTGGATAATCGCGCCTTTCCCTGTGTTTCTGTGGTTCTTTTATAATCCTGGTTTTAAAATCTAAAATAGTGCATGCTGGTATTTGCTTTTTAGGGTTGTAGAAGAAGGTTAACAAGGTACCACAAACCGGATGGCTCAAAACAGCGGATACTGTCTCACGGTTCTGGAGACCTGAAGTCTGAAACAAAGTGGTGATGGGGTCGGTTCCCTCCGGAGGCTCTGAGGGGGATGCAGTGGCTCTGAGGGGGCTGTGGGGGCTCTGAGGGGAGACTGGGGGTGGCTCTGAGGGGGATGCGTTTCCTGCCTCTCTCCGCCATGCTGGGGCTCGCTGCATCTTCGTGCTCCTCTGCTTGTGGATGCGTCACTCTGGCTCCGTTCTTCTTCACGCGGCATCCGTCTCCCTGTGTTCTCTGCTTTATAACGGCACCTGTCATTGGATGCAGGGACCGCTCTAATCCACCATGATTCTATCTGGAGAACCTAAACTTAATTACATCAGTAAAGACCCTTTCTCCATGAGGTCCCACTCGCAGGTTCTCGGGGGACATGTCTTTTGGGGCCACCATTCCCCCAGCTCCGATGCTCCTTTAAGCTCATTAAGCTTCATAGAGGGGATTCAGGTGGGGGTGCCCTCGGTCTCACTCAGTGGGTGTCAGGGGGCGTATCGCCTGCAGGCCGGCCCTTCTGCCCTCTCAGAGGCAGCCACAGCTCAGGTCAGGCTGGAGGGTGGGGTGGACTTCCTCCCTCCCTCCCCCTCACTGCCCCCCCCGCCGCCTGCTTCCTCCCATCCTCCCTCTCACTGGCACCCCCACCTGCTTCCTCCCATTCTCCCTCTTGCTGCCCCCCCACCTGCTTCCTCCCGTCCTCCCTCTCACTGGCACCCCCCACCTGCTTCCTCCCATTCTCCCTCTTGCTGCCCCCCCACCTGCTTCCTCCCATCCTCCCTCTCACTGGCACCCCCACCTGCTTCCTCCCATTCTCCCTCTTGCTGCCCCCCCACCTGCTTCCTCCCGTCCTCCCTCTCACTGGCACCCCCCACCTGCTTCCTCCCATTCTCCCTCTTGCTGCCCCCCCACCTGCTTCCTCCCGTCCTCCCTCTCACTGGCTCCCCCTCCCCTGCCAACCTGCTTCCTCCCTCCCTTCCCTTCACTACCCCTCACTCCCTGCCTCTTTCCTCCCATCCTCCCTCTCACTGGCCCCACCACGTGTAACTGTCTGTCAGGCTGGGAGGCAAGAAGCAGCAGGTGCCTTCCGTTTGGCCTTGTACATTTGTTGTCATGAGCTGGGTCTGCTCCCCTGGGCTCAGACCCTTGATTTTCAGGGCTCTTGGTGAGTGGGGGGTGGGCACCTGGGACAGCTGCCCGGGGATGGCTGCATGGGACCTCTCGGGGGGCATCAGCTGCTGTCTAGCTGGGGCTCCGTTACTTCTATTCTTCAGGTTTGGTGCCTTTTTATGCCATTGCATATGGAATTGTTTAACAATTTCATTTTTAAATTGTTCATAGAAATATAGGAAGATAATTGAATTTTGTACTTGATCAGATATCCTGCAACCTGACTAGATTCACTGAATCATTTTCAGTAGTTTGTTTTGTAGATTACATAGGGTTTTCTCAACACATAATCATGCTTGCAAATAATGGCTTTCTTCCTCTCTTTTTCCTCTCCCTCCCCCATCTTTCTTTCTGATTTTTATGCCCTCTGTTTCCTTTTCTTGCCTTATTGCATTGGCTGGGACCCCCAGTACAGTATGGAACAGAAGTGTCAAAAGTGGCCCTAAGTATGGGTCACTTTTAGTTTAGTTTTAGTTGTTAGTTTTCTATAAATGTATTTAATCAGGTTGTGGAAGGTCCCCATTATTTCTGGTTTGCTAAGAATTTTGTCATAAGTACCTACTGAATCTTTTTTTCCTGCTACTGTAGTCTTGGGGTTTTCTTTGTGGGAAGGTTTTTATGTACAACTTTAATTTCTTTAATAGGGATAGGGTTATTTGCAGCTTCCCCCTTATTTCCAGTATTTCAAGAACAGGCAATTTTAATGTTACATTGTGACAATCAAGACAAACCCTGGTTTCTAATAGAGATATGGCAGATTTCTGGTTGGGGACAGCCAACGTGCACAAGGGTCCCAGAACGTTTCATTGTGCCTGAAAGTGAGGGGGCTCTCCAGGACGAATGGGGCCTGTCGAGAAGACAAGGAGCCAGTTTGAAAGAGGTGGCATTGGTGAAATCTGGGACAACCTGAGCATCCAAAAGAATGAGGCCCATAGTTAACTAGGATACATCTAATCCATTTACATCCATGAATCCACAATGACACTCTAAGAAAAGAGAAAGCCTGAAAAACTCAGGCAGATCTTAAACCAACTCTTTATTTTGAATATTGGCAGCCAGAGGGAAAAATCAAACATTATCTTGTTTTGTGCTAGAAAGAGGATGCCAGTATAACCAAATGGCACTAGGTATGAGGAAAGACCTCCTTTAAAAAGGAATGTTGGGCCGGGCATGGTGTCTCATGCCTATAATCCTAGCACTTTGGATTACAGTGTTAGGGAGGCCGAGGTGGGTGGATCAGCTGAGGTCAGGGGTTCGAGACCAGACTGGCCAACATGGCGAAACCCCATCTCTACTAAAAATACAAACTTTAGATGGGTGTGGTGGCACACGCCTGTAATCCCAGCTACTTGGGAGGCTGAGGCAGGAGAATTGCTTGAACTCAGAAGGCAGAGGTTGCAGTGAGCCGAGATCGCACCATTGCACTCCAGCCTGGGTGACAGAATGAGACTCTGTCTCAAAAAAACAACAACAAAAAGGAATGTCGGCCCATAAATGTGAATGAGTGACTGAGTTAGAAAAATCATCTTTTCCAAACACCACTGAAATCATGGACTAGGACAAGGTTAGCCCATGAGTGTTTAGACCAGTGAGGTGAGCAGCTGCTGGGGACAGGACCCTTGTCTGGTATCGATGGCAGGGAAGGCTGTGAGCCTCCCCTCGTGTGGGCATCAGCCTCAGCCTCCCAGTGGGGGTCACCCAGGGAGCATATCTCCTGGTGAGAAGTACAGGAGCTTCACATTCCCTGGATACGTCCCAGCCGAAATGTTCACCGTGAATCCGGCAACCTGTGGAGCTGATTTCCATTTCTAAGGAATGAGGGGGGATGGGGAAGAACCCCCCAGGACAGCACCAACAGTCCCTGCGGGGACCTTTCCCGGACACCCGGCCTTCTCGGCGGTGAGGCAGGTGGCGGCACCGACAGGCCCGGGGGGGACCTTTCCCGGACACCCAGCCTCCTCGGTGGCGAGGCAGGTGGCGGCACCGACAGGCCCGGCGGGGACCTTTCCCGGACACCTGGCCTCCTTGGCAAGGCAGGTGGCGGCACCAACAGGCCCGGGGGGGACCTTTCCCGGACACCTGGCCTCCTCGGCGAGGCAGGTGGCAGAACTGGTTCCACGTCTGATCTTCCTTAGACAAACCTGCCTTCAGAGGAAATTGTGTTCAACTGGAGAAACTGGAAAATGTACTAGATATTGGCTGATATGAAGGATATATGTTTTGTTAAGTATGATAATTCGATTTTGGCTCTGTAGGGAAAGGCTCTTATTTTAAAAAGATGTGCACTAGAGAAAAAGGAAACAGCATGTAGCAAATACATCCACGGATGTCCTCCTGGTTTAATTGGTTCTGTGGCCTCGGTTTCTGTCTTCCTGATGGCACCTCTGTGACAGGAGCTCAGACCCCGGCATCAGACCGGCCTCCGCAGGGAGGAGCTGCGGTGCCCAGGCCAGGCCAGGAAGCACCATGGCCCACTGCCTGGGCCTCACCTCACGAACGCCAAGCACTGTGGCGGGCACAGGCGGAGCCTGGCGGCTTCACGCCCACACCGGCAGCTCCTCCCTCAGCCCCTCGCCCGCCGCTCCCAAGTCCGGCAGTTCTGGAGCACGGGAAGCTCTCTGGGGGTTGCTGGGCAGCAGGACCTGGTCTGAGATGACTGAGTCTGCCCAGGTCTTCACGCGCCTAACTGAGCGTGAGCGTGTCTGAGTCTTACCGCAGAAACATTAAAATGCTTGGTGACAGGTGTTAGGAGACTTCTGGGATCTGCACTGTACCACTTCTCTAAAACTGGGAATATTCTGAGTCTCAGAGCTTGTCTGGATGAGGAATCCTGGGGCCCGATTCTAGACCTGAGGCACCAGCAGCAAAGGATGTGGCCCAGCCCTGGAGCCCCAAGCAGCTCGGCCGGGAGTGCACCCTCCTACCTTCCCAACCCAGTCGCAGTCAGTTATGAAAAAGGAACAGTGCATGATTCCAAAGTTATATTTAAATGCCAACTGCGTTGAATTTGGCAACATTTGACAGGAGTTATGGAAAGCCTTTCAAAGATTTAGCAGGACAAAAACAAACTAGCAAGCGAGCATTATTGTGTGCTTTAAAAGTAAACAGGCTTGAGCAATGGTGTCTGTTTTAGAAAACTGACGAGCCTCCCAGGTGGATCATGGGAGTGCCTGCAATTACTGGTTATTCAACCAAGGTCCCCTCCGGTCTGTGCCTCATACAAACAATGGGTATTCTGCTGAAATTCACCTCCTGGAGCAAAGATTTCAGAAATGCCCTCTGTACACCAGGTGAATTGCAAAGGGGCCAGGTGTGAGGAGGGACTCCGGGCTCAGAGCCCTGGGGGCTGGCGTCCCTCTCCTCTCCTGGAAAGCCGGCCCAGCCATCCCTCTTCCCCTTGCCCCTCTCCTACCCTCCCTGGTCTCCTTCTCTCCCTGTCTCTCTTCTGCACTGGGCGCCTTCCAGCCTTGGGAGCTGGGCCCAGCTTTGCCTGAGGATTAACGACAAAACAGAGTGAAGATGTGGCTGGCAGACTGCCCGCTGCCCCTGTGGCCGGGACCTCTGCTGTCAATGGGAAGGTGACTGCATCGTTGGAGAGTAATTGGGTCATGAGGCAAGCAGGAGGGGGTGGCTGTTCTGGAAGGTTCTGCAGGGCCAAACTGTGATGAAGATTGCAGCATGAATATGCTCTTCCATCCCCCAAAAGTCCAGTCTGACACCTCAGTTTATTACGGTGTTGACAGTAATAGTGTTCTGAGGATATCATCAGATAAAATCACTCCTCCGCAGCCTGGGGCTTTGCAAAGATTAGCGAGTGGTTTCTGTTCATGAACTATCTTCAGGGCTGTTAATCACCTCCCTCCCTCCCTGCAAATCCCTGAGTCACTAGCGGTGAGGGTGGGGCCCAGTGCTGACCTGTGACCCCAGCCCTGGACATCTCCATGGCCAGTGTTGCGAGGGCCCTGGCTGCGCTTCTGCCCACTGACTGGCAGACCAGGCATCCAGGCACCCGGGCTTTGTGTCAGGTTCCGATCCTTCTTTCTGCACGTGCTGTCTGTGCAGTAGTTCATGGTCAGCCCCAGAAATGCACACTTGAGATGGCGTGGGCCTGCGTGGAGTCTGCACGTGGCACAGCAGGGACCTGGCTACGCGATCCTCTCGTTAGTGCTTTGTTGGGTTACCCATGACCTGCAAAGCTGGGGCTAATTTCTTTGTCTTTGACAAGACCCGCAAAGCTGGGGCTAATTTCTTTGTCTTTGACAACTTGACCAGAGGGTCCAAACAAAACAGAACCGAACCGCATCAACATCTACGACTGGGGAGATGATGTGAGATTCCACAGCAGCCCCAGCCAGCCGAGGCCCCAGTGCTTCTGTGTTCCTGAGGGCTGATCCCTGCGGCTATAAAAGAGCACACGCGAGGTGTGGGGTGCGGGTACAGGTGTCAGAACCGGCCTCGGCTACAGCCGAGAGCACCCTCCTCTGTCCAGGAGACCACCCCAGGTTCTTGACCGTCTGGCCTCTGGGCAGTGTGGCGGCCCCTCTCCCTCCCTCTGACCTGTCCAGCGTAGTTGCAGCTTGCAGTGGGGCTCCCAGGGCTCATGCTGAGCATCAGGAGGTGAATCTCGGCTCCAACAGCCCTCGTGGCCTTGGGAGATGCTGCCCTTTCTAAACCTGAACTTTTTCAAGTGTAAAAATGAGGATATTTAATTTTCTGAGATGTTTCAGGTACTAAATATGAAATAATTAAAGGAATTTTGGAAAAGGACAAAGCTTTATGCAGTATAAGGAATGTCCTGAAGTTGAAACTTATGTACATATTTTGATCAAAGGTGAAATAAAATTGCATTTAAATCTGCAAATTGGAGGTGGTCAGGCAGCTGAAGAGTCCCTGAGATGCAGCAGTTTCTTTACATGGCTTGTCGTAAGTTGGTAACATTGTGGCAAGTGTTTACTATGTAGAAACCTTAAAGACAGGAAGAAAATTTAGCACGAAACATTCAATCCAATTGACTTAGGTTTTATTGGGCACCAGAGATGCGCTAGAGAACCCTGGGACTCTGCTGCAGCGTGGACCCCGAGGTGGGATTATTACGGGGTCAGCGAGGTGCGGGCCATTTCCATGATGAAGATCCTGTGAACTCTGGCGTGGATGCTTGGACCCCACGCGTGGTGTTCCTTCTCCATGACCCTCCGGAAGCTCATGCAGAGTCTGGAGCTCGTGGGCCCTCAGGCCGCCTTCTTGTCCTTGGTGTGGAGGGACTCAGTGGCCTCCGGGACCCTGTCTGGGCATCTCCCTGGGCCCTGCAGCATCTTGTTCCTCCCCTCCAGCTGCTCAGCCCATCCCACGCGGAGCCTGGGGCAGGGCGATAATTTCGGCATTGTGAGTCAAGCTCTCGGAACTTAGTGACGGCCAAGCCCGTGTCTCTCAGCACCTGGGCACCTGTGAGAGCAGGAGTATGACACTCCCTGCCAGGGGTGGGGGTGTCACCGCATCCCTGCCCAGCCAGCAGCTGTGACCTTGCTGGGTCTCCCAGGGCCCTGGGATCTCGTGGCCGGCCTTGGCTCAGGCTGCTGACCAGTGGTTGGTGGGGGGGGGGGGGGGCGTCTCACTCAGGACCCTCCTCACAGGAGAGGAAAAATGCCTTCCCCGGGAAGCAGCCTGGGTCCCCAGTTCTGGAAGCTTCTGAGCCCCGGAGAGACTGTGCCTGAGCTTGAGCTCTTGCAGCCTCTGTCTCTGCTCTGCTCACGGAGAGGCAGGTGCCCTCGCAGGACAGGGCGGCCTCTGTGGCTGCCTAGGGCCCGCCTGCCTCCCTGCACCCTGCCCGGCTGCCTGTGGGTGCCCACTTCCTTCTCGCTTGCCTGCCCGCCTCACCTGCCCGGCCTGGCCACAGTGGACGGTGCTATGTTGTGATCTCAGCACCACGCATGGGCGGACCTGGCGGCAGGAATGGCCTGGTCAGAGTGGTCCAGGCTCCCCGAGACCTGGGCAGATCCCCACCTGCCCGCAGCTGCCGCTTCCTTCAGCCTCAAGTGCTTTTGGCTTTAGAAGTTGGAGAGTGGGGTGGGTGCCCGGCTCCAGCCAAGGGTGAGCTGTGTCCATGAGGACACTTGTCACAGATGCCCAGGACCCAGATGACGATGGTGCTGCTGAGTGGCAGGCAGTGTACCCCGGACGGCTGGGCCCCACGGTGATGGTCCCCGAGCAACAGCTATGTTCACCCTTGCCAGGCCATGGCTGCTGACTGGTGGGGCCCAGGGCAGCTCCATGCATGAGAGGGTCAGCTGGGCAGGATGTCAGCAGCTGCCACGGTCCCACAGACTTGGCGCCTCCGGGCCTGGAGTCCTCGGCCCTCACAGCCGGCCGCCCATCCCAGAGAGGCTGCCAGGACAGCCAGCCCCATGGTGGTGGAAGCAGCGGCCCCTGTCCCTTTACAGGGGACCGTGGGGTCCCGAGCCAGGGGCTGCGAATGGCCGGTCTCCCACATGGGCCAGCTCCTCTCTCACGGCGGCTTCCTGGGGTGGGCCTGGCCCTTGGGCTCACACCAGCACACGGGACCCTCTCAGCTCTCTGGGCTTCATGCGGGGAGGAAAGTTAGGCTACTCTCTAACGGGAACCCTAAGAGTGACCTCCTTAAAAGCAGTGGTTGGCCTCGTGGCCTGGGGAGAACCGGGCTGTGTGGGTGGATGGAGGGGGGTTGTGCAAATGGAGGCTCTGCCAGCCCCTGAGAGAACGCTGGTGCCTGCCTTGGACACCAACCTCCACCTCAGGGGCCAGAGAAGGCAGCGTGGACACACAGTCCCGGGGCCTGAGCCCACTCCTGGGATCTGCACCCAGGCAATGGCCAGAGGACACCAGGGCACATGGCACATGCAGGCACACGCAGAGGCACGCGGAGGCACGTAGGCACACACAGGCACACGTCCAGGAAGCACAGGGCGGGGATGAGGCAGGGCCCGTGGGGCAAGCACTCGGTGGTGGGGGGGGGCCTCTCCTTCACCATCGTCTGCCGAGTGCCTGCGTGGTGCTGGGCTCTGTGCTGGGTCCATGTCCGTAGTTGGGTAGCTGGTGAGTGGGGAGGGGCACCCCCAGGCTCTGTGGGACCGCCTCGGGCTGCTGAAGGGGTACCACGGCTCTCTTGCTCGGGGCCTGAGCACCGAGGGCTGCCTGGAGCCTCTGGAAGCTCCTGCTGTGTGCCGGCCAGTGTCTTGCAGCAAATGAGCTCTGCTCCCCACCCAGCTGTCCCTGAGCAGTGGCTACACCCTGGGTCGGCTCAGGGTCACCCACTCAGCACCCATAGACCCCTGGCCTTGGCCCTAGGAGAGAAAGGCGTGCTGGCTTGGTATCTGCCTTCCTGAGCAAGTCTGCTAGGAGGAGGAAGGGCACAAGTACAGATACGTCACTCAAGGGCAGTGATCTCAGAAAAACAAGCCAGAGAAAGACATTTCCTCCTGGAAAAGTTCCTGTGATCCTGGACGGAGTGTCAGGGAGATGGCGGGGGAAGGGGGTGTGGGTGAAGGGGGTGTGGGTGTTGGGGTGTGGGTGTTGGGGTGTGGGTGTTGGGGTGTGTGTGTTGGGGTGTGGGTGTGGGGGTGTGGGTGTTGGGGTGTGGGTGAAGGGGTGTGGGTGTGGGGGTGTGGGTGTTGGGGTGTGGGTGAAGGGGTGTGGGTGAAGGGGTGTGGGTGTTGGGGTGTGGGTGAAGGGGTGTGGGTGTTGGGGTGTGGGTGTTGGGGGTGTGTGTGTTGGGGTGTGGGTGAAGGGGTGTGGGTGTTGGGGTGTGGGTGTTGGGGTGTGGGTGAAGGGGGTGTGGGTGTTGGGGTGTGGGTGTGTGGGTGTGGGGGTGTGGGTGTTGGGGTGTGGGTGAAGGGGTGTGGGTGTGGGGGTGGGGGTGAATTGTCCGTGGGCATTGGGGTGTGGTGTTGCCTGGATAGTGATGTTTGATCTGAGCTCCTGGTCTCACGGTTAGCAACGTGGTGTCTTGTCATTTCCCACCTACTGTTCCAAGCGTGATCACTAAGGTGAGTGAATGGCTGTCAGTTTCCTCCTGGGTTGACTCCTTTCACAGGCCTGGAGCTGAGGGGTTTCATGGTGGGCTGAGGGCCAGGGCTGTGTCAGGGCACACTGCTGGCGGGGCTGTGCCCCTGGGTGGCGAGCGTGGCTCAGGCATAGGGGTCCCCGATGCACTGCACACCCCGACTCACTTGTTCAGAGCGCTTCTGCGAACCCTGATGTCCTCGTTCTGCAGGTGTCTTGCGTGATGCTCGATTTTTTTCTCCCAAAACATCTTTATCCCGCCTGAATCGTATGCTACTCTTCCAGGATTCTTAAGAGTGAGGCTTTTACTCATGTTCTGGAAAATAAAAAGTGGAGAAGAGCTCAGTCACCTTATGCCATTCCCATTGACGAGTTTGTGCTCCAGCACCCGGATGGCAGAGGAGCTGGCTCAGCCTGCAGCATCGTGGTCCCCGCCTTCCTGGTTCGTGGGGGATGGCGGAGGCTGCCCTCTGAGACTCAGGCCTCAGGTGGCTCCTGACCGGCTCCTAAACGCTCTACCGGCTCCACCTTCTGGAGCAGTCTCCTGGGTTGGCAGAAGTAGAAATGGAGGGCAAATTCCATTTTGGGCTTTTAGTCATTTTAAAATCTAAGCAATGATGCACTTCTAACTCTCTGTGTGTTAGTGTGGGTGATCTGCAGTCCCACCAGCGAGGTGAGCGTTTCTTGGATGGGGCTGTGGCTTCTGTGCCAGGTGAGTCCATCCCTTGTTTTTGAGACAGGGTCTCATTCCCATCACCCAGGCTGCAATGCAGTGGTGCGATCTCCCCTCACTGCAGCCTTGACCGCCTGAACTCAAGTGATTGTCCCACCTCAGCTTCCTGAGTAGCTGGGACTATAGGTGTGCACCACCATGCCCAGCTAATTTTTGTATATCTTGTAGAGATTGGGTCTCACTATGTTGCCCAGGCCGGTCTTGAGCTCCTGGGCTCAAGCAGTCTTCCTGGCTCAGCCTCCCAAAGTGCTGGGACTACAGGTGTGAGCCAGCGTGCCCAGCTCAGTTGGCCTCTCTCGACACCTGGTTATTGGGTACCTTTTGGTTTGAAATATGTAAACCCAGCAGTGGGGTTAAATGTGGCAGGTTACACTGAAAAACTTCAGCTCTGCTATTTGATGTAATATGCTAAAGTGAGGCTGACTGAAATGTTTACTTTCCAATTATTTTGGACTCGTGCATCTACGGGACACCAGCAATCTTAGAATATCAATCTACAGCCATCAAGAATGTCCAAGGCCGGGCGTGGTGGCTCACGCCTGTAATCCCAGCACTTTGGGAGGTCAAGGCTGGCAGATCACTTGAGCTCAGGAGTTAAGAGACCAGCCTGGCCAACATGGTGAAACCCTGTCTCTACTAAAAATACAAAAATTAGCCGGGATTGGTGGTGGGTGCCTGTAATCCTAGCTACTCTGGAGGCTGAGGCAGGAGAATCGCTTGAACCCGGGAGGTGGAGGTTGCAGTGAGATGAGATTGCAGC
The DNA here is from genome assembly GCF_000001405.40 of Homo sapiens. Lineage (NCBI taxonomy): Eukaryota > Metazoa > Chordata > Mammalia > Primates > Hominidae > Homo > Homo sapiens. The sequence continues at coordinate 110,610 of NT_187527.1, forward strand.
ACTGCACTCCAGCCTGGGTGACAGACTCCGTCTCAAACAAACAAACAAACAAACAAACAAAAAAAGAATGTCCGTGACAAAGGGAAAGTGTCGACAGCAGCAGCCCCTTTTCTGGAGCCCTCCTCCCGATTTCACCCAGCAGTGGGAGCCCGGCTCTGGGTCAGCTCTCCCTGGGACGCGTGGAGCCTGGGTCCCTGGGCTGTGCCTGCCCTGGCCTGGCTCCAGGTCTCCGTAGATGGCCCTGCTCTGTGCTTGAGGATGGGGTTTACACAAGGGAGCCAGGGCCACGTTTCGGGGTGCAAGGCGGTGGGTCTCGGAATGAATGAGGCATCCACTGTTCTGGGGCTGCCTGAGCCCCTAAGCCGCTGTCCGGCCAGCTCCTCGGGGCCTATGGGGTGGGCAGAGCCATTTCTGCAGCCCTGGCTGGCTCCCTTGGGGCACTTTGTTCTTCAGCTTGGCCTTGCTTGGCCTTGGAGGCATTTCTCTTTCCCCGCCCCCCACTCTTCTCTCTTGCTGGGGAAGAACACAGGGTGGCAGGAGCGCGGCCCGAGAGGAAAACCAGGCAGCTGAGACCCGCGGGCTCGTTTCCTGCAAACACATCACCTGCTTCAGGTGGAGAGGGTAAGGGTGCCTTCTGGAGCTCGGCTCAGGTTGCAATGAACAGGTGCTGGGGACTCCTTCGAGGAGCTTGATGTGACCCCTGGCTGGGGGCTTCCAGCTGCAGAGGCGCGGGCGCTGTGGCCTGCGCAGCCTGTTGTGATGTGGGTGCTGGGCGCTTTGCTGGGGAGCTGCCCCTGGAGGGCCACAGAAATCGCCCATCGATGCCACGCCCTTTGTTCCAGAAACTTAGACATGCAAAGTTGATCATGAAGGGACTGAACTCAGCCACGCCTGCCTGTGCTGAGGACGCTGGCGCGAATTCAGTGAGTGAAAACTCATCCAATGAGGAGGGTGGGATGCACGGAACCCACCAGTCAGGGCCGGGCCCAGCTGCTTCCCCGGAACTTCGCACCTCCTCTGGTGTCTGGGCAGACGCCTCCCGGAGTGAAGCTGGGGCTGGTGTCAGATTCAAACCGAGTAACAGCTGGAAAACATCTGACAGCTGAGACCTGGCTGTTCTTGGCAGGGGCTTCAGAGAGCAGCGTGGGCGTTAGAGCTTCTGCTCTTAGGACACTTAGCCCCCAAAGGCAGCCCTTTAAACCCTCATGGGACAAAAACAAACCAGCAGCAAAAGGGAGAACCAGCAAACCAGCAGACAGAAGAAACAGACACGCGGCCGGGCGCGGTGGCTCAGGCCTGGAATCCCAGCACTGTGGGAGGCCGAGGCGGGCGGATCACGAGGTCAGGAGATCCAGACCAGCCTGACTAACACGGTGAAACCCCGTCTTCACTAAAAATACAAAAAATTAGCCGGGCGTCGTGGTGGGCGCCTGTAGTCCCAGCTACTCGGAAGGCTAAGGCAGGAGAATGGCGTGAACCCGGGAGGCGGAGGTTGCAGTGAGCCGCGATCATGCCACTGCACTCCAGCCTGGGCGACAGAGCGAGACTCCATCTCATAAACAACAACAACAGCAACAAAACAAAACAACAATGACAACAACAGACACACAAAGGGGTGCGTGTTGTGAGGCAGGTGATGGAGACACTCTCCCCCCACCAAAGGTGTTGACAGCAGGAATCCCAGTGGGAAAACAAAATTACAAAGTTCAGTTCCCCCAGCGAAATGCGGGTGGGCTCACGTCTTGTGCCAGATATGTCACATACTCTGTTCACCTTTTGGGGGCCCCCAAATGCAGCGCCAATCTCTCAAGCAAGGACAGCGCCTGTCACATCACAGAGAGCTTACTTTTCCAACCATTTCTCAGTGACGGGCAGGTTTTCCTGTCTCTGTTGAGGGTCCTCAGCCTGTCCTCTCCGGGGTGCACGCCTGTATCTCGCCTGCCGCTCTCTGTTACATGGGCTCAGTGACACGCATGCTTGGCGTCGGTTCAGTCCCAGAAAGACGCGCTGCCCTCTGTCTGGGCACCGTCCCTGGCAGAGCTGTCCGTCCGGAGGGCAGCTGTTGGCAGCATGGGAATCTGGAGGACGGCCAGCTGGGCCTCCTCTGCCCTCAGCCCCCATCGGGACTGTTTTTTTCTTCTTTCGACGGCTGCTCCCAGGAAACCTTGTGGGTGGGAGGGAGCATTGTCTGGGGAGGGGCGTCGGGGCACCTAGGAGTCCTGGGTTTTGCCCAGGCCTGCGTCTCAGGAATGGTGGCCTTTGCACTTACTGCAGGCGAAATGTATATCACAAAACGACGATGCAGACACACTCAAGGCAGGTGTGGAAATGCTTAGGGTCTCTCTGCCCCACCCATACATGGGTTTACGTATTTATTGTGAGGAGCTGGCTCTCGCGGTGACAGGCGCTGAGAGGTCTCGGGATCTGCCATCTGGGACCCAGGAAAGCCTGCGGTGTCAGTCAACCCGACTCTGAGGGAGGTTGGTGTAAATTCCAGACCTTGGTCCAGAGACGGTGAGATGAGGCGTCCTGGAGCAAGCAGGAAGGAAGGCAGGCGAGCAGGAGCGATTCCTCCTTCCTCCACCGCGGCACCTTCAGGCCGTCAGAGGATTGGATGACGCCCAGCACACGGGGGTCACCGCGTCCGGAAACACCCTCCCAGCCGCACCCAGAAACACTGTCCCAGCCGCCGCCCTGGTGCCATCAGGTAGATGCACAAAGTGAAGCCCCCAGGCTTTGTCCTGGACGGGGTTCCTCTCCCAGGATCCATCCCTCCAGGCCTCAGGGAGCCGGCAGCAGGGCCGGCCCAGGGCCAGCCTCCGTGATCTCGTTTCAGTCTCCCGGGTCACTTGCTTCTTTATGAGGTTTCCAAGTCATTGATAGTTTCAGGTGAAAGCTTTTGGGAAATTTTCGTTTACTATCATAAAGCAGACGGTACACTTATTTTTTATATTATCCTTCACAGTTGTTTTTTTTTAAACTGGAGTTCTGTGGGTGTCATCAGTGGATTGGGAGCTGTTCGTGATTTCCCGAGTCCTGGCGTGTGCTCAGGACACCTTGATCTGTGGCTCCCTGCGAACTGGGGTTAGGCCTCAGGACGCGCCGGGACATGCCGCAGCGCACAGAATGCACAAGGTGGAAAGACGGTGCTCAGGCAGCGCGGGTGGAAGACGCCGGTGAGAACCAGCAGCTGCTTCAGAAAAACCGCTGCGTGCAGCACCGATGGGAGGAAGCCACCTAAAAACGGAAAGGAATAGCCCCAGGAGAGGCGTCTCCAGCAGGACTGCGTTTTTGTAAAGCCCGTGGTGGTCTCCCCAGGTCCTATGCGCGAGCGCCCCGGGGATTCCCCACCTGCCCTGGAGCCGAGAGGCCAAACCAACCAGCAATCACAACACCGGCCTACACTTCAAAACTTGTCCTTCCAGGCCCCTTCCTTCTGACGTGTGTGCGGAGGGACGGCAGGGCGCCACCGTGCTGGCCGTGCCTGATGGAGCAGCAAGGCGGCAGGGAGCGCATTCTGATCTCCCCGTGTTTCGGAGTTTGTAGGTCAAGTGTGCACTATCTGCAGTCAGCCAGAGCGGAGGAGGAATTTGGGAGAATGCATTTGCCGCAGGCTGAGGCGTTTGCGTTTCTTCCTCTTTCCTGAGCTATCCCAGTGCAGTGGGCTCCAGACAACCCTGTAGCACCACGGAGGTTCTGAGTGGACTTTCCTGCACCCGCCACCCCCACCCCATCAGAGGCGGTCGTCCAGGCTGCCGGGCTCCAGCTACCGGGCTCAGCCGCCTTCCAGCCCAGGAGTCCCGCCTGCCGCCTCCCCTCCGCCGCCGCCTCCCCTCCGCCGCCGCCTCCCCTCCGCCGCCGCCTCCCCTCCGCCGCCGCCTCCCCTCCGCCGCCGCCTCCCCTCCGCCGCCGCCTCCCCTCCGCCTGCCAGCCCGGAACGCCGCCTCCAAGCCTCCTGTGCCAGCCCCGTCCTGCGCCCCTGTACCTGGGCTCTGTGACGGTGAAGCCGGCGTCCTCACAGTCGCAGCAGCAGCACAGGCTGAGCCTTCCCCGTGTGCGGCATCACCCAGCTCTGTCCTTCGTGCCTCCCGGGAGCCCAGGGAGTCGGGGCCACCGGACGCTGGACCTGAGAACCTGGACCCAGGCCCGGTCTGCCCGGGAGTTGGCAAGTGCTGAGCACTGTGTCCCCTTGCACGGCCACTCGGGGCCTCCACGCACCTAAAGGACAGCTCCTGAAGCATCCTGGCCCTGCACTCACGGTGGCACGCGGGCGCCGTCCCCGAGCCCAGGGGCCAGGCCCAGGGCCCTTCCCCGAAATCTGCCATGAAGGTGAACTCGGTTACACTCAGGCCCAGGGCTCCCGAGGCTGGTGGCGGCTGCTCCGCATGAGGCCTGCTGGCTCCCAGGGGCCGCCCTCCCTTGAGAAGGGGGTGCCCACTACGGCTGGGCCATCTGCAAGGGGCCCGGTGATCACATTATGGAGTCATTTTTGAACTGGGTTCTATTAACTACTAATTAGTGAGCCACAGTCATGACATCCTTTGTAAGGAAAAATGTTCCTAACTGAAGCGCTCGCCCATGTCCGCGGTGAGACGCCTGCATGGGGCGGTCTCTGCTTCTCCCCAAGGACCCTCCTCGCCGCCCGCTCGGCTGCACCGGCAGATGGTGGCAGGGGACAAGGACGGCGCGGTGGGCCCCGCGCCCAGCTCACCGCGAGTGCTGCTCCCTTCACAAAACGCTAGAGAGACCAGCACCCTCCTTGCCCCGCCCCTGCTTGGGGCCTCTCTGTGCTTGGAGAGGAGGCCCAGGCTTCCTCCTCTTCCTGGAGCGGGCGTGAGGAGGGGTCTGCAGGCTCTGTCTCCCGGACAGAGCAGCCTGGAAAGTCCCGTGCTCCGGGGACGCCTGTCTTTGACTCTGTTCTCCTGGGCCGCAAGGCTGAGGCCCGAGTGCGGAGGCTGCACCTGCTCAGCTCCACTGTGACCTCTTGGTGCCGGGGACACGCCTGCCCCCGCGCACATTGCCGCCCGGCCCACCTCCTGTCTGAGCCCTCTCAGCAGACAAGGTCCTTGGTGCCTGGAGTCATCAGGACAGATGGTGGAGCCCAAGTCCCTGTGTGGGGAGGGGAGGAGCAAGTCCTAGTGTAGGGAAGGGGTGAGTCCCAGCGTGGTGAGGGGGTGTCTTTCCCGTCCATGGTGCCCCGTCGAAGCTCCACACACTGGACAGGCCACAAGTTCTCATGGGACTCGGGCCCATGCCTGGCCCAGTGTGGACGCCCTACTGAAGCGGCATCCCAGGCCCCAGCAGCTCAGACTCCCCCCAGCTGCCCTCCCCATGCCCAGCTTGATGGGTACACAGTGTTGCCCGCTAGTGTCCACGCCCTCCCGAGGGGTCCCTGGGCTACAGCAATGTTTGGTCTGAGTGAATGAGCCATGGGGGAACAGACGCCCCTGTAGCTGCAGACCCCCTGCCACAAAGCACAAGGTGGCAGGGGGTGTCCCAGAAGGCCCCGCAGAGAAGGCAGCTTCGCACCAACCTCGTGAGGCCTTGGGGGTCAGCAGCTGGGCCAGGAGCTGACCTGGGAGGCAGGGAGGCAGGGATTACCTCTGGAGCCATATCTGGGGCTGGGACTTTGCCTGAGCCAGGTGTTCTAGGAATGCACTTTAGCTGCAGAGTCCTTATCCATCTGGCTCAGCGCTGGGGAGGGCAACAGGGAGTGGTGGGGTCTGTGGCAAAGTGAGGTGCCGCCATGTCCACGGGCGGCTGGTGCTGAGCTCACAGCTGCTCTGGGCAAACTTTTTCCATAGATGCCTCAAATCTGAATTTTTAGGAAGCATATCCAGATTTTAAGGTGTTGACTAACTACTATTTCACCTAAAAAAAAGCCACTGAGCCGGCTCCCCCATGTGGGCCGGACACAGCATTGTACTAGAATCCCAGCAGCGAGGGGGATCCCGCACTTCCTGGGGGCCTGCGGGGGCTGCAGTGGGTGTCTGGGATTCCAGGGTGGGGGCGAAACCCTGCTTTTGAGGAGCCCTCAGATGGGGGCGGGGAGGGAGCCATTCAGGGACGTCCTCCATCGCAGCAGGCAGGAGCTGAGTGGCTGCTGGGAAGGGTGAAGACATTCTCCTCTACACTCAGGAGGCACACGGGGCTCTCAGATTAGACGGCACCGAGTGGGAAGGTGGTGGTTTCATGATCAATTTCCTGACCAGAGCCACCTGCAGAGGAATCTTTTTCCTGAATACCATATTTTCTAAGCTATTAGGAGCACAGCTTGGCAATGACTGAGGGTGTCTGGACGGTGAGGTGTGCGCTGGGAAGCCTTGAGGTGCCGTCTGGTCTGGCGTGCCCCAAGGACACATGTGGGGAGGGTGCCAGGCCCTGAGTCTGTGGGTGTTGTCAGGAGGTGGCCCCTCTTTTCCTGGTTCTTTGCCTGCTGGTGCTGGTCTGTGAATGCCCTCGGGGCCTCCTCCTGGAAGAGCCTCTTCCCTGGGCCCGCTGAGCTGCAGAGGCTGCAGGTGCGTCTCTGCATGTGGCTGCGCTTTGTGGGCTGTGTCCTTTCTCCTGCTGGCTGGGATTGGCTGCTGAGGCGCCAATCCTTCCTCTGCCCAGATGTGGCTTGGTTCCGTTGGAGTCCAGTGTCAGAGGGCTGAGTTGGATGTTTCTAGATCAGCTGTGTCCACAGGGGCACTGGCCTCCTCGTCACAGTCCCTTCCCCGGGCCCGTCACTGGTGCTGGGCACCACACTTAGGCCTGGCCGTCCTCTGCCCAGGAGAAAAGGGGGAGTGGGTGCTGGGAGTGTGCACAGGTGTGTGTGCAGGGCTGTGGGTGTGCGCACACCTGCGTGTTTAATCATAATACAAAGTGGGCCGGGAACCTCACCCTGAAGTGTGAAGGGCAGTGCGTCATTTAGAATCCTTCTCTTTTTCTCCTTCTTGAGCAGCTGAACGTTGAGAGGGGCCCCGTCTGGTGTGGCCGTGTCTGGTCCCCCATGCAGGCCCTGCACCGTGGACTCCCAACCTGCGGGGATCCGTCCCCAAAGACGCCACTAGTTCTGCCAGCCCAGGGTTTCCTGAGTGTTTCCCGAGAGGCCCTGGTTGCACGGAGTAAGTTCTAGTTTAGTCCTGGTTCGTTCTCCCCAAACGTCTCTCAGGAGCTGTGTTTCTTCTTCATGACCTTCCCCTTAGACCTGTGTCAGATCAGGGTTAGAGGTTGGTCTCCTGGCCTGTGTGGCCACCCTGGCGCCCTCGACGCTCTGCCATGGGCTCCCTTTCTTTCATCGGAGGCAGCATCTGGCCATAGTGAAACTGAGTGTGGGGAGGGGGACGCAGAGCTCCCAGGTCCCAGCCCACAGGTGCCTCGGTGGTGAAATCCCCTGACACACTGAGTGGGGCTTCCAGGACGGGGGACGGAAGGAAAAGGATTAAGGGGTTAGGTAAGTGCAAATATGGCTTTGAAGGTTTAAAATCCTTCACTCATGTTGTGAGGGAAGAACAGGTACTAGACTAGAAGCCATGTCTGGTTGCCCTTGAGGGACCCCTCAGCCAATGTGAAGACGTGTCCAGGCAGCCCTGGGAGACATCCCTGTGGGGGGGCCAGTGCAGGAAACGGACCGCCGGGGGAAGCTCCTGTCATCCCAGGGTGGGCCAGGCTGGGACTACAGTCATGTGCACAGCATGGCTGAGATAATGAGCAAGACTCCAAGGTCCACCCAGGGGCCCGATGGCCTTTAGGGAGACCTAGCACTGTTGCAGGATCAGGAGGACCGGAGAGAGACCTTGGAGTGTACACAGGAGGATATCTTTATCATTGAGTGCACTCAGACCCAGCAGACTCAATGTCCAAAGACTGGGCCCAGAACAAAGACAGCGCCTGACTTTTACACACACTTCACAAAAGGGGGTGGGCTAGCTTGAAGCAAGCTTACAGTGGCGTGAAAGCAGGGATACAGAGGCAGGACAAACTCAGGATTGCACATGACTGTTGCCAAGCAACCCACATGTCCGTTATCTAGGTTAACCTGGGCACGGGCTTATCCCATAACCTTCACTATGTTGCCCAGGTGGCCGTAACTCAGGCCTGCTCAGAGGCTCATGACCTTCACTTTACTGCTTAGATAAAACAATGCTTGAAGTCAATAGTTACAGAGAACAGGAATTTATAAACTCATTCCATAAAACAAAGGAAAATTTGTTTTTCTTCTCCCTATATTGAGGGAGTGCTGGGAGAGTCTCCAGAGCACATTAGATAATATTATTATTAAGACTTTTCCTGGGTTTGGGCTGTGCTTGTTGCTGCCTCTAGGACAAGTTAGCCTAATACGGGAAAGCTTATTTCTCTTTCTTTTTAATTTTATTTTTCTTTAATTTCCCACCTCAACACGACCTGAACGTGGCTTAGTCTGCTGCTGGTGTTTGTGGAGGGCTGAATAGTGTCCTTAGGAAATATGTTCAAGCCCTAACCTGTGAACACAGACATTTTTGGAAATGGGTTATTGCAGATGTTATGCATTAGGATGACCTCATGATGGATTAGGGTGGGCCCTAAATCCAATGACCAGCATGCTTTTAAGAAGGGGAAATGTGTGCACAGACACACAGGGAAGGTACGGTGAAGCCGGAGGGAGAGAAGAAGGGACGCGTCTACACTCCAAGTGCAGAGAGAAAAGGTTCAGGGTTGAGGCTCCTGAAACAAGACGGATTCACCAGAGAAAAGCGAACAAATGTATTTTAGTTTTATGTGACTTGGAGCCTTCGTAAGGAAATGAAGACCCAGAGCCAGGTGGACCTGTGTGTTTGTGCTTTGGCTTGATGAAGAGGGGATGGCCGTGGGGAAACGTGGATGAGGACGGGAGGCTGTGATGTGATGGGTGAACTGGGCACCTCAGCACGGCCTGTGTGCCCGGGGGAGAGGGGATAGGTGAGCAGGGAAATGACTGTGTTGACTATACACAGCCACCACCTAAACCTCAGTGTTTGCTTTGTAATTGAGCTCACGCAAGCAAAGCTATCTCCAGCGGGGACTCTCTTCTAAAGAGCACGCACACTTTAATTTTTACCTGTCCTCGAACCAACCCTTTGTTCATTATAACAGTGAAAAAGATACCCCTGGGTGGAGATGTAAGATGCTAATGAGACACACCACCTACAAACAAGCATGTGTGCCGACGACCACCAGACTGTGCTTCCTGATAACACCTCTCCCACTTTCTTTTTTTTTTAAGGTGGGGTCTAGATCTATCCCCAGTCTGGAGTGCAGTGGTGAGATCTCAGCTCACCACAGCCTCTGCCTCCCAGGTTCAAGCGATTCTCCTGCCTCAGCCTCCTGAGTAGCTGGGATTATAGGCATGCGCCACCATGCCCAGCTAATTTTGTATTTTTTTTTAGTAGAGACGAGGTTTCTCCATGTTGGTCAGGCTGGTCTTGAACTCCCGACCTCAGATGATCCACTCGCCTTGGCCTCCCAAAGTGCTGAGATTACAGGCATGAGCCCCCATGCCCGGCTACCTCTCCCATCTTCTTATGGATCATCGGGTGAGACTCCCATAAAGGCAGCCTCCCTATGGCCGGTCTCTGCTGTCTCACCCTCATGACCCACCCTGAGTCCTTTCTCCCTTAGGGTGGCCTGTCTATTCTGCACCTCACTTTCAAAATACTCTTTTTTTTTTTTTTAAAGACAGAGTTTTGCTCTTGTTGCCCAGGCTGGAGTGCAGTGGTATGATCTTGGCTCCCTGCAACCTCTGCCTCCCGGATTTGAGTGATTCTCCCGCCTCAGCCTCCCAAGTAGCTGGGATTACAGGCGCTTGCTACCATGCTTGGCTAATTTTTCTATTTTTATTAGAGATGGGGTTTCACCATATTGGCCAGGCTGGTCTCAAACTCCTGACCTCAAGTAATCCGCCCACCTCGGCCTCCTAAAATGCTAGGATTACAGGCGTGAGCCCCTGCAAAATACTTTTCTTCTTTTGCAATAAGTTACTCTGTGCTGCACTTCTTTTGCAGTGTGTCTCTTGTTTAAATTCTTTTGAACTGAGAAGACGAGAACTGTCATCACGTCAGCTGTCAACACCAGTTCTCTGTGTCCTGTATCTTCAGAGAGAAGGGCGTGTCTTTTCCCCGGGTTTCGGGAGGGCGTCTCACATCAGGGTCTTGGGGACCTGCTGTAGGGGAGAAGGCTGAGGGGAGGTGAGAGAGACCTTCCTGCTTCTGCTGTTTTCACAGTGCCAAGGTGCCATACTTTGGGGTAGCGTGTCCCGAACCCCATCAAAAGCAACACAGAGGGTTGCTGGGGCATGGCCGGGAGCAGATTCCCTTTCACATCTCCGCAGGAACTGACCCTGCCGATGCCTGACCTCAGACTTCCGGTCCCCAGGCTGTCAGACAGATTTCTGTTTTGCTTAGTCGGGCAGACGCTAGGCTCTGTCCCCTACGGTGGCACCATTGGTGCCGCTCATCGGTTCTTTTCAGGCGGCACAAAGTCCTGCACACGTGTGGGCCAGGTCTCCAGGAGATCTAGGCAGAGTGAAATGCAGATTTTGGGGTCCCCTCTGGCTCTGTCCTTTCCAGGAACTCCTCTTTCCTCCCTGGCTGCCACAGTCACCCCGTTGCTCTCTGGGTCCTCATGCCGGAGGGACGGTGGTTTCCTACCCGAGGCTTTGCTCCCCTGCGTGGGCCAGCTGCTCTCGAGTGGAATGCCTTACAAAAGGAAATCTGCCTGGCGCCACGGCTTTCCTCCGAGTACGGACGCCTGTTCAGTCTCTTTCTGCTTCCGGCTGTGCCCGGTACCTTCTGGTGGTTGGTGCCTGTATCTGTCCAGGGGATGTAGGTGGTGTGTTGGACTGACATGAGCTGCTTTGCCATGACTGGAAATGGAGCCTCAGTGTTACTGGAAAAAGGGTCTCAATCAAGACCCCAAGAGAGGGCTTTGGATCTCTCGTGGGAAGAAATTCCAGGCGAGTTGCAGAGTGCAGTGAGAGAAGGAAGTTTATTGAAAACTACTTCATTGCAGATAGGGCACCCTCAGAAAGCAAGAGAAGCAACGCCCCAGCTTTAGGTTTTTCTTATATAGGGGTCTCGTCTGTGGAAAGACCAAGCCAAGCTGTGCCTACATGTAGGTGAGCAGAGAGCATGATATTTTCTTATTCTATGTAAGGAAAACTGTCCTTGACATTTTCGTGTGTGAGTCCATCAAAGCATAACTGGAATGATCTTAACAGCACACATTGCTGGGGTTCTGGACGTCTGGACTCTGTTGTTGGAGGAGTGTGTTTTTGCAGGCGTCACCAAGCTGCCTCTTTAGCTGTGAACATCTTAGGACCGGGGGTCATGACTGTGTCCGGCGAGTGGATTTTAAAATGGTGTGATTCTGGCTCTCCTGGGCTCCTGCCTTCCTAACACCAGGACCTTTCTTTTGATAAGAGGACGTTGCCCTTGCCCTCTCCGGGTCACTGTGAGGACGGGGGTGGACGGAGCTGAGTGCCCAGCAGAGACTTGTCAGAACACGTGGCCTGAAACTCAGCATATGGCCGCCAATTTTGAGCCAATTTTGACCCAAAGCACTTTTGCAAGGAATTGTGTCCTGGAACCTGGTGGCCTGGTTAGGGTTGGCCTGGCCCCTGGTTCTCCCTCTGTGAAGCGGGGATCGAGGGAGCTCAGGGGTTGTGTGTTCAGCACAGAAGCAGGGCCTTGCCTGCAGGAATGCCAGGCTTTATTGCTTTAATTATGATTGTCGATCTAGAAAATAGCACATACAGTGTCGTATCAGTTCTCTCAGGGGTCCCAGAAAAAATGGGTTCTGGGACCAGGTGAGAACCTATTTCTCTCTAACTCTATATTTGTCAAATGTATTTGATAACAGAATGCATCTCTATTTTTGTGAAAATCCAATTAATATCCTGAGACAGATGCCCTGAAAAATGTCTTTGTAAATAGTCTGAGTATTGACAGCATTCTAAATAATCTGGGTTTCATCCATGCAAAAATCAGACACCACCCACTCCAGACGGCCAGCACCTCCCGCCTCAAGGTGTCTCCCTTGACCCTGGTTTCTCCGTTGATTCCCTTTTTATCCAACTCATCATGTTTCTAGATGCTGCTTCACATGCAATTAGTTGTTATAAGGAAATAAATCACCTACTTTCTAGGGGAAGAAATACATACATTTCTGCAGACTCGGGGGATGTTAGGAACAATGGAAACGTCACAGAGCCGAGTGGTGTTGCCCGGATCGCTCTAGAGACTGATTTGGGGACTGCTTCCGAAGCACAGAAGCGTCTGTTTGCTCTGCCTCCTCGGCCTCCCAATCACCCCATCTTCACGTGGAAATGCACTTCCCAGGAGCGTGTTCGCTGTGACTGCTGCCTTCCCATGGCTATGCGTGACCCTGAGGTAGGGAAACGTTTCTTAAACAGGACAAAGACCCCCAAACCCAAAAACAAGATGGCAAAGGGAATGATGAACAGAACTGTATTAGAACTAAGATTAGAAAATCATCAAAAGTTCAAAGGGCATGAGAAGGGAGCATAGAGTGGGAGAAACGTCTGCAGAGACTCGGCTGCGAGCGACTCTGTCCGGGACCTGCAGGGAATGTGTGGAAACCAACCAGAGGCAGGTGGCAGCGCAGGCCGAGAGGGGCATGAGAGCTTTGAAGACACTTCACAGAAGAGGACAAACGTGGCAGGAGCTATGGGATGAAGTGCACACACACAAACCCAACACACACCCACACACCCACACACACCCACACACACACACCCCCCACACAAACCCAACACACACACACACACGACACACACACCCAACACCCACACACCCACACACACCCACACACAGACACCCACACACCCACACACACACACACACAAACCCAACAAGACAGAAACAAGCAACAACACAGCGATGCAAAACTAACAATGATCACGCAAATTATACGATTTCTGAGCGCTCTCAGTGTAAGCAGAAATGAATACCAGCTGTTAATGTGTTAATGCTAACTTTAGTCATTTAAAAAGAATTTGCAAGACAGAACCCCAAACCAGTTTCTTTCCTAGTGATGGGGCCACAGCTGAAGACCACTGATGCAGACGCAGACGAGCTCGCCTTCCTTGATGGAAGCCAGTGGAAACTCCCCCCCACAAAAAGGAATTTTTTTAAACAGCAAATAAATTCCAGACCCCCAAATGAAAAACCCTGGAAGATCAGGGATCCCTGGAGGAAAGGGCTCCCAGACTTCGGCAAATCGTCCTATCAGTTTGGGCTGTGAGGTGCCCAAGCCGGTGCCAAGCACGGATAGGTGAGCTGCTGCAGGCCGGGTCACCTTCACTCAGGATCTCTCCAGATGTCAGTCGAGAAAAATGACAAGTCTCAATCATCTGTGGAGGTTTATTTGCCAAAGTTCAGGACACATCCCTGGGATTCAGGTCTATGCCATTCTCCGGAGATGATTTTGAGGTTTTGAGGGCTCCAAATTTAAAAGGCAAAGGGCGAGATACTGGGAAGTACACAATTTTCATGTAAGAGGCGGGTAGGGAGAAACATTCATGCCTTTGTCTGGCTCAGTGAATCTGCATTTTTTACATAAGACGACATAGACAAGTGGCATAGAGGAAGAACAAGGGAATCTGTATTTTACGTAACACAGACAAACAGGGCAGGGGAGCAATCAGATATGCATTTGTGTCTGACGGGCAGGAAGGTGACGGCACCTGTAAAGATAAGCCTTCCGTTTACATGCATGGAGAAATTTTAACAGAAACACCTTCAGAGATCTTGCGGCGCTAGGAATTTCCATGAGGGCAACACCGGGGAGGCGGGTGGCTTTTCATCTTGCAGCTGTCTTATTTAGGAACCAAAAGTGCGAGGCAGGTTTTCACGAGCCAGTTTCCAGCTTGACTTTTCCCTCTGGCTTAATGAGTCTGGGGTCCCAGAATTTAATTTCCTTTCACATGACAGATGGGAGCATCGGGCCAGGGTGCTGCCCGTGGCCCCACGCTTCCCCGAGGGGCTGCTCCCATCGTAAGTCCTGGCAAGATGGTGGTCAGGTGGGGGTCTTTCACAGCGCCTCCCCCATCTTATAAAAGCCAAAGGATTCCAGGGTCTCAGGTGGGATTCTAATCCTTTATATGCTCATATGGCAAAACCCCTGGACCCTTTTTCAGAATAATGTTTTCATAGTTTACATAAAAATGCAATAACTATGAAATACTGTTATCAAAATTTTAAAGATCGGATGTAATGATATAATTTATTAATGCATAAAACAGAATCTGGTGATGGGTCTAAAACCCACCATAATTTTGAAGTTATGACTGTAAATGGTATTTTAAGATATCTTCAATAATTGCAAAAAGATTGGAAATGCCTGCGATTTCTTCTGGTAGAAAAGCCACAGGTTCGGTTAACTGAATTCATTTTGTTGCTTCTGGTCAGGATCGAATGACAGTTAAATTTGATTCATGATTACTGAAAAATGGGTGAACCCTGGGGTGTGTGGGCCCTGAGTCTGGAAGGTCTGGTCTGGCGCAAAGCACCTCTCACCACCTCTGCCCCCTGTGTGCTTCACATTTCAAACTTAACAACATATTTTCACATTCGTTATCTTATTTAATTTGCTGATGATAAATATATTAAGCATCCAACCCAAGAAACTAGTAAGAGAGTAAGAATATTCACCCAAGACAATTACATGGCAGGAAGAACGAAGATTAAAAATAAATGTACACAGTAGAAAATGTCAACAAAAATTAGACCTTGTTAACAAAATACTAGATTTAATCAATGAAAGCCACAGATGGTTTGTTGAAAATAAAAATAGAGAATAGAGAAACCTATTAATAATTTAAGTAATTTGGAAATGTATATTAGGGCAAATTTAAGATAAGAACATATACAAAAGGAAATATTATGTAAAACTCAGAGAAAAATCTAAACAAACATATTTTCTGAGAGAATATAAGTTTAAAAATTGACTTCAGAAGAAATAGAAAACACAAGTAGCTCGATAACTATAGTAGTGACGAAAGAGATTGGCTGAGCTAAACTAGTGTTATAAGCACCAGTCCTTGATGGTAACTCAGAAGTTTTGAAAAAGAGAAACAGAGCAGTGTGGAGTATGTGTGCGCAGGTTCACACATGTGTGAAAGTGTGTGGGATGTTTATCTGTGTGTCTGTGTGCACACGGTGTGTGAGTGTGTATGTGTGTGTGTGCTTGTTAAAGTAGGCAGATGGCCGGGAATCTGTATCCTGCCCTCACAAGGTGGGCTCCCACCTGCAGGCTCAGGGGAGGAGCCCCTTCCGGGCCCCCTGTTCCTGACTTCTGACCCCTGGCGCTGCCCCACGGTAAATGCCAGTGCTTTTAGGCCACTGGGTTTGTGGTTATTTGTTATGTCAGCAAAAAAAGAACTAATACAAAGAGCAGGTAAATTGGAATAGCCTCTTTACAGGGTAATTTGACTTCATCTATAAGAATGTAAAATGCAGACACTGACCTGGAAATTCCACTTTCAGCATTTAACCTTTAAAAATATCCACACTTGTTATCACATAGGTACATGCAAAGATGTTCACTGTGACATTATCTTTAACAGTGAGAAATTGTGAGCATAAAACATTTGTAAAATACCAATGAACAGAATGGCAGAACACAAGAACACATCATTATATTTTTATGCATGGATCGGATACTGCAGGATGCTTAAGAAGACAGTGAAAATATTTCCCAGACGTTTTGTTAGGGTATGGGAGTCCCAGGACAGCAGCGCCTGCATGACCCCATTTAGGAGGAGGAGGAGGAGCAGCCAGACCACCCTTGAGGGCCTGCCCAGGCCCAGGTGGGGATGCTGCTGCTGGGAACAGGGTCACCTCCTTGAGGGATGTGGAGAAAGGGGGTGTGAAGGGGGTGTCACTCCTTGGTTTGCAGGTTTTTGTAACAAGAAGGTCCTTTTGTATTTTTGGTTCCATTTTGGAAATTAAATGGAAGAATGCACGTGCATCAAACGTGTGGTTTGGTTTTTGGGGGGATTCCCAGACCCACTCTCCATCATGGAACGCAGGTGGACTCCTGTCCAGATTAGTCTTGAAGGAGGTCTGTGCCTGATGGGAAGGCAGAGCCTCTCACCTGGCCTGGCCTCAGCTGGCTTTTGGGGTGCTCTGCAGCAGGGCAGGCACGTGGCCAGCCACGAGGAAAGCCAAGGGGACTCAGCCCGGGAAGCGGCCTCGCTGGCTCAGACGTGGCTGTGGTGCCGGGCCTCCTGGGGAGCAGCCTGGGGACAGGGAGTTGCCTTCTCTCTGCCTGGTTGCCCTCTGCGTGGGGTGAAACCTTCCCGCACGTCTGTGTTGCTGTCTGACTTTTAAACACTGCATGAAACAGAGGCCTTGCCATGCCGTGGCTGCGTGGATCTGTGGAGCCAGTGGAGACTCACAGCAGTGAGCAGTCCTGGGGGCCCAGGGTGTGACCCCCGTCGTCCAAACCCCGGCCCAACGTGTGCAGAGCCCTCCCACCATCCACTCGCTGCAACTTTTCTTTAAATATGCCCATCTTTTTACTCAAATTTACTTATTTAAAAGTTAATTTTGGGCTGAGTGCAGTGGCTTATGCCTATAATTCCAGCACTTGGGGAGGCCAAGGTGGGCAGATTGCTTGAACCCCGGAGTTCGAGGCCAGCCTGGTTAACACGCTGAAATCCCATCTCTACAAAGAATACGAACATTAGCTGGGTCTGATGGTGTGCAGCTGTGGTCCCAGCTACTCAGGAGGCTGAGGTGGAAGGATTGCTTGAGCCTGGGAGGTTGAGGCTGCAGTGAGCCATGATCTTGCCACTGCTCTACAGCCTGGAAGACAGAGTAAGATCCAATTTCACACACACAAAAAAGTTAATTTAACAAACCCCTTTCACTATTTAATTGAACATACTTCAAAATTAGTTAAATTAGGATCAATAATTTGTATAAAAATTGTAGAAATACCGGAACAAAGTGCAGATGAACACTTTTGTCCCAAGGGGCCTGGGCCATGCTCTATAGTCAGCACTCAAGTGGGAGAGGAGCTCACACTCTCAGAGCATTGAGCATTGAGAGGCAGCATGGCTGCAACTGTGAGGAAATATAGGGGAGCCACATGACCGAGCAAGGGCTTACCTACTTACCACTCTGCCTAAGAGCCACCTACTGGATCACATCCCAAAGCTTCAACACCAAAAATGCCTCACTAACATATCCCTGCTGTAAAACCAAAGACCAGAAGTCAGATATAAATAAAGACCCTGCACAAAGCTTCAGCCCTGTGAAAACATCCAAAAGTCTATTGACTGTATTCAATTTACACCACAGTTAAAGGAACACCCACATGCAGAGATGAGAAAGAGCCAATGCAAGAACTCTGGCAACTCAAATGGCCAGAGTGACTTCCATCCTTGAAACGATCACTCCTTGTTTTCCAACAAGGGCTCTTAACGAGGCTGAGTCGGCAGGAATGACAGAAATAGAATTCAGAATATGGATAGAAACAAAGATTATTGAGGTTCAGGAGAATGGCAAAACTCAATCCAAGGAAACTAAGAATGACAATAAAAGGATACAGGAGCAGACAGATGAAATAGACAGTGTAAAAAAGAACCTAACTGACCTGGTAGAGATAAAAATTACACTACAAGAATTTCACAATGCGATCACAAGTATTAACAGCAGAATAGACCAAGCCGAGGAAAGAATCTCAGAACTTAAAGACTGACTGTCTGAAATAAGACAGTCAGACAAGAATAGAGAAAAAAGAATAAAAAGGAATGAACAAAACCTCCAAGAAATATGTGGTTATGTAAAGAGGTCAAATCTATGAATCATTGGTATCCCTGAAAGAGATGAGGAGAAAGCAAACAACTTGGAAAACATATTTCAGGATGTCATCCAAGAAAACTTCCCTAACCTCACTAGAGAGGCCAACAGTCAAATGCAGGAAATACAAAGAACCCCTGCAAGATTTTACACAAGAAGATTATCCTGAAGACACACAATCATCAGATTTTCCAAAGTCAAAATGAAAAAAAGAATGTTAAAGGCAGAGAGAGAGAAAGGGCAGGTTACCTAAAAAGGGAACCCATCAGGCTAATAGTGGACCTGTCAGCAGAAACCCTACAAGCCAGAGAGATTGGGCATATTCAACATTCTTTTTTTTTTTTTGAGAGGGAGTCTCTCTCTGTCACCCAGGCTGGAGTGCAGTGGCACGATCTTGGCTCACTGCAACCTCCACCTCCCAGGTTCATGCCATTCTCCTGCCTCAGCCTCCCAAGTAGCTGGGACTATAGGCGCCCGCCACCACGCCTGGCTAATTTTTTGTATTTTTAGTAGAGACGGGGTTTCACCATGTTAGCCAGGATGGTCTCAATCTCCTGACCTCGTGATCCGCCCGCCTCGGCCTCCCAAAGTGCTGGGATTACAGGCGTGAGCCACTGCACCTGGCTCAACATTCTTAAAGAAAAAAAAACATTCAACCAAAAATTTCATATCCAGCCAAAATAAATTCCTCAGCAAAGGAAAAATAAGATCCTTTTCCAATAAGCAAATGCTGAGGCAGTTCACTTCCACTAGACCCACCTTACAAGAGATCTTGAAAGGAGCACTAAATATGAAGAGGAAAGGTTGTTACCAGCCAATACAAAAACACACTTAAACACATAGACCAGTGACACTATAAAGTAACTACATGAACAAGTCAGCATGATAACCAGCTAACAATGATCAAATTCACACATATCCATACTAACCTTGAATGTAAATGGGCTAAATGCTCCATTTAAAAGGCATGGAGTGGCAAGCAGATAAAACAGCAAAACCCAACAGTATGCTGTCTTTAAGACACCCATCTCACATGCAATGACACGCATAGGCTCAAAATAAAGGGATGGAGGAAAATCTATGAAGAAAATGGAAATCAGGAAAAAGCAGGGGTTGTAATCTTAATTTCAGATAAAACAGACTTTAAACCAACAAAGATCAAAAACTCAAAGAAGAACATTACATGATGGTAAAGGGTTTAATTCAACAAGAAGACCTAACTATCCTAAATATATATGCACCCAACTCAAGAGCACCCAGAGTCATAAAGCAAGATTTTAGAGACCTACAAAGAGACTTAGACTCCCACGCAATGATAGTGGGACACTTCAACACTCCACTCACAGTGTCAGACAGATCATCGAGGCAGAAAATTAACAGACATCCAGGACCTGAACTTAGCATTGGACCAAATGGATCTGATAGACCTCTATAGAACTCTCCATCTCCAAACAACAGAATATGCCTTCTTCTCATTGCCACATGACACATACGCTAAAATTGACTACATAATTGAACATAAAACAATTCTCAGCAAATGTAAAAAGAACCAAAATCAGACCCAACACACTCTTGGACCACAGCACAATAAAAATAGAAGTCAAAACTAAAAAAATCACTCAAGACCATGCAATTACATAGAAATTAAACAACCTGCTCCTGAATGACTTTTAGGTGAATAATGAAATTAAGGCAAAAATCAAGAAGTTCTTTGAAACTTAGGAGAACAAAGTCACAATGTACCAGAATATCTGGGATGCCGGAAAGGCAGTGTTAAGAGGGAAATTTATAGCACTATATGCCCACATCAGAAAGTTAGAAAGATCTCAAATTAACAACCTAACATCATGACTGAAATAATTAGAGAAGCAAGAGCAAACCAACCCCAAAGCTAGCAGAAGACAAGAAATAACAAAAATCAGAGCTGAACTGAAGTAAATTGAGACATGAAAAACCATTAACAAAATCAATGAATCTAGAAATTGGTTTTTTGAAAAAAATTAATAAGATAGGTCCCTAGCTAGACTAATAAAGAAAGAAGATAAAAATAAACACAATTAGAAAGGACAAAGGGGATGTTACTACCAACCCTACAGAAATACAAATAAGCATCAGAAACTACTGCAAACACCTCTATGCACACAAGCTAGAAAACCTAGAAGAGATGGACATATGCACTCCCCCAAGGCTGAACCTGGAAGAAATAGATTCCCTGAATAGATCAATAATGAGCTCTGAAATTGAATCAGTAATAAATAGCTTACCAATCAAAAAAAGCAGTGGAATTCCACCAGAGGTCCAAAGAAGAGGTGGTATCATTCCTACTGAAACTATTCCAAAAAATTGAGAAGGAGGGACTCAACCCCAGCTCATTCTATGAGGCCAGTATCATCCTGATACCAAAACCTGGCAGAGACACAACAAAAAAGAAAACTTCAGCCTAATATCCTTGATGAACACTGATGCAAAAATCCTCAACAAAATAATTGCAAACTGAATCCAGCAGCACGTCAAAAAAATAATCCACCACAATCAAGTAGGCCTCATCCCTGGGTGCAAAGCTGGTTCAACATACACAGATCAATAAATATGATTCATCACATGAACAGAACTAAAGATAAAAACCACAGGATTATCTCAATAGATGCAGAAAAGTCTTTTGATAAAATTCAACATCCCTTCATGTTAAAAACTCAATAAACTAGGTATTAAAGGAACATACCCAAAATAATAAGAGCCATCTATGACAAATCCACAACCAACATCATACTGAATAAGGAAAAGCTGGAAGCACTCCCCTTGAAAACTGGCTCAAGATGAGGATGTCCTCTCTCACCACTCCTATTCAACATAGTGTTGGAAGTTCTGGCCAGAGCAACCAGGCAAGAGAATAAGATAAAGGGCATCCAAACAGGAAGAGAGGAAGTCAAACTATCCCTGTTTGCAGATGACATGCTTCTCTATCTAGAAAACCCTATAGTCTTGGCCCAAAAGCTCTTTAAGCTGATAAACAACTTCAGCAAAGTTTTAGGATACAAAGTCAATGTACAAAAATTAGTAGCATTCCTATACACCAAAAACAGCCATGCTGAGAGCCAAGTCAGGAATGCAATACCATTCACAATTGCCACAAAAAGAATAAAATACCTAGGAATGCAGTGAACCAGGGAGGTGAAAGTTCTCTACAATGAGAATTATAAAAACACTGCTCAAAGAAATCAGAGATGGCACAAACAAATGGAAAAAACATTCCATACTCACGGATAGGAAGAATCAATATCATCAAAATGGCCATACTGCCTAAAGCAATGTACAGATTCAATGCTATTCCTATCCGACTACCAATGACATTCTTCACAGAACTGGAAAAAACTATTTTAAAATTCATATGGAACAACAACAAAAAAAAGAGTCCAAATAGTCAAAGCAAGCCTAAGCAAAAAGGACAAAACTGGAGGTATAATGTTACCTGACTTCAAACTATACTACAGGGCTGCAGTAACCAAAACAGCATGGTACTGGTACAAAAATAGACACACAGACCAATGGGACAGAATAGAGGGCCCAGAAATAGGGCCACACACCTACAACCATCTGATCTTCGACAAACCTGACCAAAAGAGGCAATGGGGAAAGGACTCCCTATTCAATAAATGGTGCTGGGATATCTGGCCAACCATAAGCAGAAGATTGAAACTGAACCCATTTCTTACACCATGTACGAAAATCAATGCAAGATGAATTAAAGACTTAAGTGTAAAAACCCAAACTATAAAAACTATGGAAGGTGACCTAGGCAATAGCATTCTGGATATAGGGACGGGTAGAGATTTCATGATGAAGATGCCAAAAGTGATTGCAACAGAAGAAAAATTGACAAATGAGATCTAATTAAACTAGAGAGCTTCTTCACAGCTAAAGAAACTATCAACAGAGTAGACATTCTGTAGGTTACAGAATGGGAGCAATTTTTGCAAGCTATCCATTTGATAATAGTCTAACAGAGCCAGAATCTATAAAAAAGTTAAACAAATTTACATGTCAAAACCAAACCACCCCATTAAGAAGTGGGCAAAGGATATGAACAAACACTTTTCAAAAGCAGACATATGTGCGTCCAACAAGCATATGAAAAAAGGTTCAATATCACTGATCATTAGAGAAATGCAAATGAAAACCATAATGATAGACCATCCTACACCAGTCAGAATGGCCATTATTAAATAGTCAAAAAATAACAGATGCTGGTGAGGTTGCAGAGAAAAAGGAACACACTTACACACTGTTGGTGGGGTGTAAATTAGTTCGACCCTTGTGGAAACTAATGTAGTGATTCCTCAAAGAGCTGAAAATGAACTACCATTTGATCCGGCAGTCCCATGACTGGATGTATATCCAAAGGAATATAAATCATTCTGCCATAAAGATACATGTAGGTGAATGTTCACTGCAGCGCTATGCACAATAGCAAAGACATGGGACCAACCTAAATGCCCATAAATGAGAGACTGGATAAAAAAATGGTACATATACATCACAGAATACTATGCAGCCATAAAAAGAATGAGATTATGTCTTTTGTGGGAACATGGATGGAGCTGAAGGCCATTATCCTTAGCAAACTAATGCAGGAACGGAAAACCAAATGCCACATTTTCTCACTTATAAGTGGCAGCTGAATGATGAGAACTCATGAACACAAAGAAGGGAACAACCGACGCTGGGGCCTACTTGAGGGTGGAGGGTGGGAGGAGGGAGAGGAGCAGAAAAGATAACTACTGGTTACTAGGCTTAGTACCTGGAGATGAAATAATCTGTATAAGAAACAGAAAACCAAACACCGCATGTTCTCACTCATAAGTGGGAGACGAACAATGAGAACACATGGACACAGGGAGGGGAACATCACACACTGGGGCCTGTCAGGGGGCAGGGGGCTAGGGGAGGAAGAGTATTAGGACAAATACCTAATGCACTCGGGGCTTGAAACCTAGATGACGGGTTGACAGGTGCAGCAAACCACCATGGCACATGTACACCTATGTAACCTATGTAACAAACCTGCACGTTCTGCACATGTATCCCAGAACTTAAAATAATGAAAAAAAGTGAGTCCAGATTCTGATCTTGGCTCATGTGTCCCCAGGTGCACTGCAAACAAAATCAGAAAATAAACTGCACATTTTAATCACAGGAAGACCCAAGGCTGGGAGGTACCAGTGCATCTCCATCCCTGGGACAGGAGGCCGGGAGGTAGCAGTGCATCTGCATCCCTGGGACAGGAGGCCGGGAGGTAGCAGTGCATCTCCATCCCTGGGACAGGAGGCCGGGAGGTAGCAGTGCATCTGCATCCCTGGGACAGGAGGCCGGGAGGTAGCAGTGCATCTCCATCCCTGGGACAGGAGGCCGGGAGGTAGCAGTGCATCTCCATCCCTGGGACAGGAGGCCGGGAGGTAGCAGTGCATCTCCATCCCTGGGACAGGAGGCCGGGAGGTAGCAGTGCATCTCCATCCCTGGGACAGGAGGCCGGGAGGTACCAGTGCATCTCCATCCCTAGGACAGGAGGCTGGGAGGTACCAGTGCATCTCCATCCCTGGGACAGGAGGCCGGGAGGTACCAGTGCATCTCCATCTCTAGGACAGGAGGCCAGGGGGTGCCCGGACGTCTCCATCCCTGGGACAGGAGGCCGGGAGGTAGCAGTGCATCTCCATCCCTGGGACAGGAGGCCGGGAGGTAGCAGTGCATCTCCATCCCTGGGACAGGAGGCCGGGAGGTACCAGTGCATCTCCATCCCTGGGACAGGAGGCCGGGAGGTACCAGTGCATCTCCATCCCTAGGACAGGAGGCTGGGAGGTACCAGTGCATCTCCATCCCTGGGACAGGAGGCCGGGAGGTACCAGTGCATCTCCATCTCTGGGACAGGAGGCCAGGGGGTGCCCGGACGTCTCCATCCCTGGGACAGGAGGCCGGGAGGTACCAGTGCATCTCCATCCCTGGGACAGGAGGCCAGGAGGTGCCGGGACGTCTCCATCCCAGGACAGGAGACCGGGAGGTACCAGTGCATCTCCATCCCTAGGACAGGAGGCTGGGAGGTATCAGTGCATCTCCATCCCTGGGACAGGAGGCCGGGAGGTACCAGTGCGTCTCCATCCCTGGGACAGGAGGCCAGGAGGTGCCCGGACGTCTCCATCCCTGGGACAGGAGGCCAGGAGGTGCCTGGACGTCTCCATCCCTGGTGCCCGGACGTCTCCATCCCTGGGACAGGAGGCCGGGAAGCACCAGCACATCTCCCTCCTTGGACTGCACCATGGAAAACCAAGGCCGTCATGAGGGAGGTCTGGACTTACAGGGTGGTGGAATAGTGTGTGCTGGGGAGCCCTTTGTCTTTTCCCTGGGTGCCATATGGAGAATTATACATGCAGGCAGGAGGGGAAGGTGTTAGATACTCGTGGTGGGAGGTAAGTGTGAGACAGGCAGGGCAGGGCCTACTGCTGTGTATGGGCAGTGGGAAGAGTGTGGTTTAAATGATTTTCCATCGAACATGCTAATGGCAGCCTGTGACTGGGATGAGGTCCCAGTGGCAGATTAAGGTGGTAAATGCCCCCATACCCTTTATCAAAGTTAACTGCAAAAGGAAGCCAGAGTCATCTATACTATTGATCTGCATTTTATCTATTGCCTTTTAAAGTGAGAAAATCAGTGACTCATATTTACTTTACAAGGCAATGAAAGTGGAGCAGCTTCCTACACAGGCAGGTGAGGAGGCACCGTCTCTCCTGCTTATTGCAGGGCTGTCATGGGAAGAGCTGTGTCAGCTAATCCTCTGGGTGTTACGCTTTATTCTCAGTGTGGCTTTAGTGGGTCTAGAAATGGGGGTGTGGGAAACACTCACAGATTTAGCACTAAAGGGCACCCTCACCATAGAATCTGGAGCTAACCACCTGCAGACATGAAGCTGGGCTCAGCCCTGCAGGTTCTGTGCAGCTAACCATGTGCAGACATGAAGCTGGGCTCAGCCCCGCAGGTTCTGTGCAGCTAACCATGTGCAGACATGAAGCCGGGCTCAGCCCCGCAGGTTCTCTGCAGCTAACCATGTGCAGACATGAAGCTGGGCTCAGCCCCGCAGGTTCTGTGCAGCTAACCATGTGCAGACATGAAGCTGGGCTCGGCCCTGCAGCGGCTGTGCAGTCAACCACATGCAGACATGAAGCTGGGCTCAGCACTGCAGGTTCCGTGCAGCCAATCACGTGCAGACATGAAGCTGGGCCCAGCCCCACAGGTTCTGTGCAGCTAACCATGTGCAGACATGAAGCTGGGCTCGGCCCTGCAGCGGCTGTGCAGTCAACCACATGCAGACATGAAGCTGGGCTCAGCACTGCAGGTTCCGTGCAGCTAACTATGTGCAGAGGTAAAGCTGGGCAGCAACATCTTATTCTCATAACTTCTTTACCACTATGAAAACCAAAACAAAGTTACTGGTGAAACATAACTTTAGATTTCCAGAAAGTCAATCCAGATCCAAGTAACAACCCGTATGTAATGGGGTAGACAATGGTCATGCTAAAACCAAGTTCCAGTGTTGAGTTCCGTCAGAAATTTGTTCCCTATCTGAATGTTATCATTTTGAGATAGAAGAATCATTTGAATCTTCATCATGACTATCATTATCTTTGGTTTTAACAACTTTTTCATTTTACTTAATGAGACATCAGATTGATGGGACAATCAATTCAGCAGTACACCCCAAATAGTACACAGGGAAAGTAAGATGGCCTTTGTAAGGAAATCCACCCTCCCTGTTTGCAGACCTGCCTGGCATAGGCAGCTTGTCAGTTGGTGGTCGGTTGGTGTGGGATCCGTGGCTCTGTGGCTGGACTCCTTTGTGCTGGTGGTGACTCTGTCCTCCCACTTTCTTTCCACATCACATCACACACACTTTGCTCTCAGGGTGCTGCACGAGGGCCCTAGCGTCTGCCCTGGAGGATGTGATTTTAAACCCACATGCAGGCGTCTGCCCTGAGAACATGTGGCAGTGTTCCTCTTTGAGCTGTCATCGCTATGAGCCAGAACATTGTTGTTTGTGGTTTTCAGATGATTATCAAAATGAAATACACACACACACACACACACGCACACACCTCATGGAGCTCCTTGACTCCTGAGAATATGTCCTTAGCGTTCCTGACCTCACTGTGGGAAGGGCTGGGGCCAGGCCCAAGATTGCTGCCTTCCTAACACCTGCGGCTCCAGGAGATCCCCCCCCACCACATGGCTTAACTCAGTGGGGGGCCACTGGATCCTCAAATCAACAGTACTCGATTCTAAGAGACACAGAGCTGGTTTAGAATAGAATAGAAGTCAGGATTTTGCTTGTGACAGAAAACCAAATCCAAAAAGCTCGAGTGAGAAAGAGTTTTCTGGGGCACACACTGAAAAAAGCCTAGGGATAGATGGCTTCAGGTATGGCTGGATCCAGGACTCAAATAAGGTTGTTGGAAGCAGCTTTCTTTTTCTGGCTCCTGGTTCTGCTCCTTTCTGTGGTCATTCTCAGGTCTCCTGTCCCCTCAGCCAACCTCCCCTTAGTCCAGACCCAGCAGAGAAAAGAGCTGCCATGTCCCCATGGGCTGGAGCCAGGCATCCTGACCCTGCTGTGTGCCCTGGGGGTGCTGCTGGGTACCCATCGTTCTCTCCTGGTGCACGTGGCTGACAGTGGAGGAGAGGTGGACTCCCACTGACAACGGGGAGCTGGTTCTCGAAGAAGCGGTGCCCACACTGGGTGGCAGACACCTGTCTGGCATGGAGGGTGGATTTCGAAGCCAGCAGGCACTTTGTCCCTGTCACACCAACTCTCCGCTTGTTGGCTGTCAGCCTGGGGCCCCTAAGAATGACACTGTCTGTCCCCAGGAGGCCCCTGATAAAAATAGATTGATTGATTGATCAACTGAATGAATCCTGGCTCTGAATGCCGCATCAGCCTGTTTGATGGAAAGGCCATTTAACACCTAAGAGAAGCGAGCCACGTGCCAGGTCCCCAGCTCGGAAGACCGATGCTGAGCCACGTGCCAGGTCCCCAGCTCGGAAGACCGATGTTGGAGGGTCACTGCAGAGCGCCTGCTGTGGAGAAACAGGCTGGGTCCTTCCTGACTGTGCTGCGCGCTCCTCACCGCGTCTTTACGGGGAGTGCCGCCCTTCCTCCCATGGCTGCACCAGGCTGAGTGGCCGCAAAGGCTGAGCACTCAGACAGTGTGAACCCACAGCCCACAGCCCCTGCTGCTGGACCACAGATGTTTATCCCCAGAGGGAGGATGAGCTGTGATCCAGTTCAAACCATCCCATTACGAAGGAGAACAGCGGAGATGCTGGGGAGCAGAGGACTAGGAATTCCTTTTAGGATTCTGAGAAAGTGCTGAGAGCAACAAAACAAATCTTCTGCGCTTTGGGGTTTGCAAGCGGCACTGAAAGCTACACCGTTATTTTAAGTAAATGAAAGAAAAGTGTGTGGTCCAGTGCTGTTGATAAAGGCGGGTGGGGTTGTTCTAACATCCTCGGTGACATGTGCCCCGGCTTTTGAGAACTCCTGGCTCTGCCGGCTCTCAGACTTCATAAAACCCATGTGGTTGTGGCAGGCAGTCTGTCATAGCTGGTCTGTGCAGTGTGGTCCATGCCCGCCAGGCAGGCTTGAACTCCTCTTCCTCTGTGATCCGCTCTGGCAAAATAAACCAGCCAGGTCTGGGGTGGCACCTGCCCCGCACTGACCCTCAGGCCTGCCGTGGGCTGAGCACAGGGTAAGCAGGTGGATCCACGCTCTCTCTGCCCCTCTCGCTCCCTCTCCCTGCTCCATCACACTTCCCATTGAAGAGGAGGATGAGACGCTCAGTATTTTACTTCTCGCCGAGTTATCCCACACTCTTCACAGACACCACACGGAACGCCTGCACCATGTGTCAGCGTCTGTGCTTTCGCATTCATTTACCGTGGTTTCTATTTAGGCTGATTTTGTGTGTGCAGAGTGTTCGGGGGTGGAATTCATCTGAGAGTGAGTAGATATTTCTGGGGCTCCAGATGCACAGTCCTACATCGTTCCAGGAAAGTCTGTTGGTGAAGGCCCCGCCTGGTGCTGGGTGCAGGGGTTGGGGCTAGGCAGAGCTGACAGCTGGGAGGATTTGGGGGCTGAGGTTTAGGTGCAGGAGAAGGTGAGGGTGGGAAGCCCACATTGCCAAGAGGGAGGAAAAGGGACTTAGGGATGAAATATTGAGATGTTGGCTATTGTTCTCAGTCCACCCCCAAATTAAAAAAAAAAAAAGTCAAATACAGATGCGGTTTGCCTGATTTAAGGGACAGGGGAAGACGGGAGGCAGCTGGGTCAGCCCTGGATTTTGGTTCTGAGTCCACGCACGTGTCTCTGGCTGCCAGACACGCCCCTGCTTCATACAGGGCTGCTTATTAACTTAACAAGTTCCCTTCTGATTCAATCACCCCTTCGGTCTGGAGAACACCCGGATCCAAGGTCCCCCTGTTAAGACTGACTTTACCGGGACCCTGGGGCCTCAGCAAAGCTCTGTCCCCGGAACCTGCCCGCAGAATCGCACATCTGGTTCCTGCCTCAGTGCCCAGAGTGCCCAGACACCTGCTGCGGCTCCACAGGCTTCTTAGCACAGTGAGGGTTGGTCACTCCTGAAAGCGACGCTCCCGCCCCTTGGTTGCTGTCCTCAGCTGAGAACAGAGCACGGGAACCCCCAGTCACCTCGGTCTGTTTATTTTCTATTTTTCGCAGCGGCTGTGATATGTGTGTTGAAGGTGAGTCCTCCACAGCCTGGCCTCGGATGAGTCGAGCCGTCACCACCTGTTGGTTTGTCTCTTTTGTTGCTGGGCCGCGTGCCCCGTCCTTGGGTGTTCATTAAGCCGATGCGTGCCTGTGGTTAAGGTCAAAAGTTTTTAGCATGAAGGCGGCCAGGTGGAGGCTGCTTAGTTACAGCCACTCAGGGGCAACGCGGCCAGGCGCAGCTTCAGGACTGCTTTCCTTTAGACTGAAAGTGGGGTCTTAGATTTCCGATGGAGATCCGTCTGCAATGTGTTTCAGCTTCTTCTGATCTGAGGTCTGGAAACCCCCATGAATAAAAAACCTTGCTGGGAGCTGCCCACATCAGTGGGCCTGGCTTCTGCTGTCTGCCTTTGCTGGCTGGACGGGGCAGAGGAGAAGGGCCACTCGGGATTTCTCAGAGTCTCACTCCTGGGGCTTCAGAGCCGCAGCCTTAATTAGTAGGCGTTAAAGAGAGCCTGGGAAAGGCAGAGGCCAACACTACCTCCCACTCCTCACAGTGGTGGGGTCCACTCCACCCCCACTCACAACAGAGGGACCCACTCCACCCCCACTCACAGGAGAGGGACTCACTCCACCCCACTCACAGCAGAGGGACTCACTCCACCCCCACTCACAGGAGAGGGACTCACTCCACCTCCACTCACAACAGAGGGACTCACTCCACCCCACTCACAGCAGAGGGACTCACTCCACCTCCACTCACAGGAGAGGGACCCGCTCCACCTCCACTCACAAGAGAGGGACCCACTCCACCCCACTCACAGCAGAGGTACCCACTCCACCTCCACTCACAAGAGAGGGACTCACTCCACCCCCACTCACAGCAGAGGGGCCCACTCCACTCCACTCACAGGAGAGGGACCCACTCCAGCCCCACTCACAGGAGAGGGACCCACTCCACCCCACTCACAGGAGAGGGACTCACTCCACCTCCACTCACAACAGAGGGACCCACTCCACCTGACTCACAGCAGAGGGGCCCACTCCACCTCCACTCACAGGAGAGGGACTCACTCCACCCCCACTCACAGCAGAGGGACTCACTCCACCCCACTCACAGCAGAGGGACTCACTCCACCCCCACTCACAGCAGAGGGGCCCACTCCACCCCCACTCACAGCAGAGGGGCCCACTCCACCCCACTCACAGCAGAGGGGCCCACTCCACCCCACTCACAGCAGAGGGACCCACTCCACCCCACTCACAGCAGAGGGACTCACTCCACGTCCACTCACAGGAGAGGGACTCGCTCCACCTCCACTCACAGGAGAGGGACCCGCTCCACCTCCACTCACAAGAGAGGGACCCGCTCCACCCCACTCACAGCAGAGGTACCCACTCCACCTCCACTCACAAGAGAGGGACTCACTCCACCCCCACTCACAGCAGAGGGACCCACTCCACTCCACTCACAGGAGAGGGACCCACTCCAGCCCCACTCACAGGAGAGGGACCCACTCCACCCCACTCACAGGAGAGGGACTCACTCCACCTCCACTCACAACAGAGGGACCCACTCCACCCGACTCACAGCAGAGGGGCCCACTCCACCTCCACTCACAGGAGAGGGACTCACTCCACCCCCACTCACAGCAGAGGGACTCACTCCACCCCACTCACAGCAGAGGGACTCACTCCACCCCCACTCACAGGAGAGGGACCCACTCCACTCCACTCACAGGAGAGGGACCCCCTCCACCCCACTCACAGGAGAGGGACCCACTCCACCCCACTCACAGCAGAGGGACCCACTCCACCCCACTCACAGGAGAGGGACTCACTCCACCTCCACTCACAGGAGAGGGACCCGCTCCACCTCCACTCACAAGAGAGGGACCCACTCCACCCCACTCACAGCAGAGGTACCCACTCCACCTCCACTCACAGGAGAGCAACCCACTCCACCCCACTCACAGGAGAGGGACCCACTCCACCCCACTCACAGGAGAGGGACCCACTCCACTCCACTCACAGGAGAGGGACCCACTCCACCCCACTCACAGGAGAGGGACCCACTCCACTCCACTCACAGGAGAGGGACCCACTCCACCCCACTCGCAGGAGAGGGACCCACTCCACTCCACTCACAGGAGAGGGACCCACTCCACCCCACTCACAGGAGAGGGACCCACTCCACTCCACTCACAGGAGAGGGACCCACTCCACCCCACTCGCAGGAGAGGGACTCACTCCACCTCCACTCACAGGAGAGGGACCCACTCCACCCCACTCGCAGGAGAGGGACCCACTCCACCCCACTCACAGGAGAGGGACCCACTCCACCCCACTCACAGCAGAGGGACCCACTCCACCCCACTCACAGCAGAGGGACTCACTCCACCCCCACTCACAGGAGAGGGACCCACTCCACCCCACTCACAGCAGAGGTACCCACTCCACCTCCACTCACAAGAGAGGGACTCACTCCACCCCCACTCACAGCAGAGGGGCCCACTCCACTCCACTCACAGGAGAGGGACCCACTCCAGCCCCACTCACAGGAGAGGGACCCACTCCACCCCACTCACAGGAGAGGGACCCACTCCACCTCCACTCACAAGAGAGGGACTTACTCCACCCCTACTCACAGGAGAGGGACCCACTCCACCCCACTCACAGGAGAGGGACTCACTCCACCCCACTCACAGGAGAGGGACCCACTCCACCCCACTCACAGCAGAGGGACTCACTCCACCCCCACTCACAGGAGAGGGGCCCACTCCACCCCACTCACAGGAGAGGGACTCACTCCACCTCCACTCACAGGAGAGGGACCCACTCCACCCCACTCACAGGAGAGGGACCCACTCCACCCCACTCACAGGAGAGGGGCCCACTCCACTCCACTCGCAGGAGAGGGACCCACTCCACCCCACTCGCAGGAGAGGGACTCACTCCACCTCCACTCACAGGAGAGGGACCCACTCCACCCCACTCGCAGGAGAGGGACCCACTCCACCCCACTCACAGGAGAGGGACCCACTCCACTCCACTCGCAGGAGAGGGACCCACTCCACCCCACTCACAGGAGAGGGACCCACTCCACTCCACTCACAGGAGAGGGACTCACTCCACCCCACTCACAGCAGAGGGGCCCACTCCACCCCACTCACAGCAGAGGGACCCACTCCACCCCACTCACAGGAGAGGGACCCACTCCACTCCACTCACAGGAGAGGGACCCACTCCACCCCCACTCACAGCAGAGGGAACCACTCCACCCCACTTACAGGAGAAAGGTCCTTGCTTCTGGAATTTCTTTTCCTGAGTTGGGAGGTCTGGGGCTGCCCTGTCTGGATCTTCCCAGCCCCTGAGCGTGGAGGGAGAATGGCTGGGTGTCCCGTTTGGGCTGAGTGCGAGGGAGAAACCTGGCCTCGCTGGCTGACGCCGACCAGCTGAATTAAGCACCGTGTTTCCCAAGTCTTTCACGTGGACAAAAAATCCGATTAAAATCTTCCTTACTGAATGTTTTCTTTTGAACACGTCTTGTCTCACAGAAAGATTAAAGGGTGAGTTTAGGACTTCCGCTTCCATCCAGGGTGGAGTAAAAGGAACCAATTTACCCTCACCCCAGAACCAAAACCAGCTGCAACACAAGAAAAAATAAGCCATCGTTTTTAATGTATTGGATATGAAGTAATGAAGGACACTGATCCCTGGGAGGCAGGAAACAGAGAGGGTGAGACCTGCTGATGCCACAGCTCAGGGAAGAGGTTCCAGGCTGTGGTGCAGGGCAGGGAGCCGAGGCAGAACCTGGGGCTTCCTGGGTTAAGGAGATGGAACTGGATCCCAAGGGCCCAAAGCTGGTGGAGTCCATGGGAGAAGCACCCTACAGGTGGGAGGGGCATGGAGGCCTGGGGAGAGGGCCTCGTCTTCAGCTGAATGTTGATCAGCACAAGTGTGTGAGGAAGCTGCCCCGGGAGGAGAGTCTCTCAGAAAGGATTAGAGCTCCCCCAGGACTGGACCTGGTCCCACTCCCACTGGTCTCGATCTCTTGACCTTGTGATCTGCCTGCCTCGGCCTCCCAAAGTGCTGAAATTATAGGCGTGAGCCACTGCGTCCGGCTTTTTTTTTTGGAGCCTCACTCTGTGGCCCAGGCTGGAGTGCAATGTCACGATCTTGGCTCACTGCAACCTCTGCCTCCCAGGTTCAAGCGATTCTCCTGCCTCGGCCTCCTGAGTAGGTGGGACTACAGCAGGCAGCCACCACATCTGGCTAATATTTGTATTTTTAGTAGAGACAGGATTTCACCATGTTGGCCAGGCTGGTCTTGAACTCCTGATCTCAGGTGATCCGCCTGCCTCGGCCTCCCAAAGTGCTGGGATTACAGGAGTGAGCCACTGTCCCCAGCCTTCTTTCTGTTTTTTTTTTTTTTTTTTTTTTTTCTCTCTCTCCCTTTCTAACTTAAAAAGTAGCACCGACACCCTGAACTCAAGGTGCCAGCAGGATGGAGGGTGGCAAGGAGAATCAGGGTCCCCGAGGCATTGTCCTGCGTGTTTTCTGGGAAGTTGATTTTGCTTTTCTAGAAACCAAACAGGAAAAACACCACCATAGTTCTCCAGAACCTTCTTCCTGGGCCAACTTCCTAACTTTTTGGGCTTCTCCAGAAAAAATATTTTTACTGAACTAATTTCCCAGATTAATTTTTTTTCCTCCCATTACCTCAGAAGACTTTCCAGCAGATGAGTTGAATGAAAAATCATCCTTGGGGAAAAAAAATCCTTGAGAGTAGAGAGAACGGTCCAGGCCTTGCCGCACCACACTCTGACCGTGGAGTCAGACAAAGGGGTTTGAATCCACTTTGCATCTGGAGGGTCTGGGGGAGGCCCAGGGAAACCCTGCAGCCCCCAGTCGGCTCCACATCTGCAGGACGGACTGGACAGCAGTGATGTCTCGCAGCCTCGGGGACGGAATAAGACCGTGTGGGCAGAGGGCACGCACGGGGGATGGGGAGACATCACACCCGCGGAGACTTCTGTGGCCCCTCCCCATGACCATGGCCCCCCCAAATGGCATAAAGGTCTGATTTCACAGATGAGAAAAGTGGAAAGTCACTGATTCAGTGCGTGGAAGTCAAAGACACGGCCACGGATTGGAGCCGTGGTCTGAGAATAGGAAGCCGGCCCGTGGGTCGCACCAGGACACCTGCACTGTCA
The DNA here is from genome assembly GCF_000001405.40 of Homo sapiens. Taxonomy (NCBI): domain Eukaryota; kingdom Metazoa; phylum Chordata; class Mammalia; order Primates; family Hominidae; genus Homo; species Homo sapiens. Next base: position 144,413 of record NT_187527.1, read on the forward strand.
TGTGACTGCTCCTCTCTCGGGGCTCCAATCCCAGGCCCAGGCCGCCGCACTCAGGTGGGCACTGGCCTGTGGTTGGTGAGGTGGAGCAGACACTACTGGCCCCTGGGATTCTCGGGGACTGGAGAAGGCAGAGAAGGCCGGACGGATCGCAGTTGATGAGGTTAAGAAAATGCCTGTAGTCCTGAGGCTGAGCTGGAAGTCTCGGTACCAATGCAGGAAAGAAACAGTGGCTCACCAAGCAAGCTGAGTCCAGGCACCTTCTGTGAATTTGTTCCTCCCTGGGAGGAAGCAAAGCTCCCTGCAGACATGGCTGCTTCTAGCTTGGGGCCAGGGAAGGGACAAAGGGACCCTCCTAACATCGGTCAGGAGGCGTAGAGAACTCAGAGTAGGTGCCCACAACTGAAGCCCCTTGATGCCGCAACCCTGCGCCTCTGGGTGCTGAGAGCAGAAGCCCCTTGGCCCCTCAGGAGGGGGCCTCACTCATCCCCTGCTCAGTAGTGGGTGAGGGACAGTGTTTCCTTCTGGAAGCGGCCCAGTGAGTGCAGAGGGGACAGGCCCGGAATGGCAGTGCTCTGGAGCCCCTGTGGGAGTGGTCCTGGTGGAGATCCACCGCCGTGAGTACCCCAGAGAGGCCTCGGGCGCCAGGTGCCCTGGTGGACTGCACAGCCCCCCTTGAAAAGTCTCCCTGACACTAAGTTGACCCATGACCTGATAAAGCCTCCATCTCTAACCCCCAGTGCAGACCACTCTGGCTCTCACAAAGGCTGCGGCCACAGACCTCAGACAGCAGCTAGGCTGAGTGGGGAGTGGGCAGGTGGTGCCTGGCTGGTGGTGCCCCTCCCCTCCAGCCCCCTGACCCCTCAACTTAAATGCACAGTTGCAGGGACCTGCTTGGGAATTAGTATCCTGGGAGGGTTGTGGGCACGTTGCCTCTTCCCCTCCTGGACCCTTCCCCTTCCTGGAAACCTTGGCCTGGGGCGGGGTTTGGGGGTGGTGGTTTACGGGGCTTTCCAGAGCTCTCGGGACCCAGCCTTTATAGAGTTGACTTTCTCAGAGCCTTGTGAGGTGAGAGGTTCTGCACGGGGAGTAGAGCGCCCCACCCGGGAGTCCCCCGTCCTGCCTAGCTCCATGTGCAGGACGGCGCTGTGCGGCTCTAGGTGGAATGCACTGGGCTGGTCCTGCCGGCTATCTCAGCCCCGAGACCCACGAAGGCCCTGGCCGTGCTGTCCTCACATCAGCCCGGCCCTTTTCGTCCGGCGTGGAGAGTTCCAGCCTTTACGGTTGTCCAGGGCCGCGGAGGTAGCCAGGGCAGCATCCTGTTCCAGCACATCTCAGCCTCCCTGGGACAGGGGTCGCCGCTAACCTTGCGCCTTCCAACCAGGCAGCCTTCCCACGGGCCCGTCCCTCCAGAAGGCCATGCCTTGGCTGGAACCAGCAGCTTTATTTAGCAAGGTCCCGGGTCCAGGCTGCCCTGTGACTCACAGGTAGCCGCCATGCCCGTAGGGGAACGGGATGACCCAGGATGCAGGCCCAGGAGCGGCTGCTACGCGGGAGGGGCTTCAGGATGACAAAACCCAGTGCCTTGGCCTCAGCAGGTGGACAGAACTGACCACAGTAAGGGTTTCAGAAGCAGACATCAGACTCAGCTGGTCCTCCTCCACCCGGAGGAGCACAGGCCACTCTTCCTCTGAGCTTTGCCCAGCTCATGCCCAGCCCCAAGAATGCCCAGCCCCCTCTAATCCTCCCTGGTCAGGGACGCCTGCTCCCTTGTTGGGAAAGCTTCACAGCCTCTGAGTGGCCAACACTTGGCCTCTGTGTCTGCCCCAGAACAGGAGGATGTGGAACGGGGTGTGGCTAGGCATCTGAGCAGGGCTTTAATTAGCTGATGTCAGCTGAACTCCAGTGCCTGGTTTAACGGCAGAAACAAATCTTTTGGTTGAAGTTCTTTCAAAAGGAGAGAGAGAAATTCATTCTGAAGCTACTCTGCAGACCAAACACACCAAGGGAACATTCTAGAGAGAAAACAACTCATTAAAACATTCCCAAAGCTAGTTTTGAAACCAAAGACAGGTATTTTGAAAAAATGTATTCATTTTACTTTTGAGTTTATGATGACAAATGTTACACACAAGCAGAGAGAGTGAGATAAAGACAGTCATAAAATGCTGTTTATTTTAGGCATTTAAATTCCTTTCTGCTCAAAGGAACAGCGTGAACGGAATGCAGAGCAGACGCTGATCGAGCTGGATTCCTTTTCTCACTGAATGCTCTTTTGGTTCAATGAGATTCTGTGAGTGCATCTCCGAGTAGGGGCTGAGGGCACAGCTCTCCTGGCTCCTCTGCTCGGTTACATCTACACAGTGAATACGCCCCAGGTCCCAGCCTGGGATCCACAGAATCTTGATATTTTCCACTTCTGGAAAATAAACTTCTGTTTTCTCCAGTTCAGCTGAGCTGAACATCTACAATGTCTGGCTTTACAGGTTTTGATGCTGAAAATATTTTTTATTTTTTATTTTTTTTTTGAGACAGAGTCTCACTCTGTTGCCAGGCTGGAGTACAATGGTGCCATCTTGACTCACTGTAACCTCCGCCTCCCGGGTTCAAGCTATTCTCCTGCCTCAGCTTCCTGAGTAGCTGGTACTACAGGCGTGTGCCACCATGCCCAGGTAATTTTTGTATTTTTAGTAGAGACGGGGTTTCACCATGTTGGCCAGGATGGTCTCGATCTCATGACGTCATGATCTGCCCACCTCGGCCTCCCAAAGTGCTGGGATTACAGGTGTGAGCCACCATACCTGGCCGAAAATATCTTTTACTTATTCGAAAGAGATTCAACAAAAGGCTCTTCAGACCTCAATCAGAACTGAGTCTGTCCAAACGTCAAGGAGCCCGGGTGTGCAGAACCTGCGGCACCTGCCTATCTCTCCTGTAAGGATTAGAACAGCAGCAAATGCAGAGCTGGTCGAAGTTTCCATCATGGTGGGGTACCTGCTGGCTCTGCCTTCTGCATCCTGGTCCGGAGCATAGGAAGGCCGCCCTGGGCCCATGAAGCCCCTCTGGTTCCTGCTTCAGACTGTGAAGTTGGCGGGGGGATGGGGGGACCAGGGTGGTCTGGTGCTCCAGTTTCCCCCAAAACCAGTGTCCTCAGGTTTTCACCCCAATGCAGGAGGTGCTGGCCTCAGACATAGAGAGAAGTGAGGCCACAGGTCACCCTGTGGGCAGGGAAGCTGGCCTCCACCCGGGCTCCAGATTTGTGGTGTCTGAGAAACTTGTGCCAGTGTGGAGTGGCCTGAGCTTTGCTCAAGGGTCTCATGGTGGGAGATGGATTTGGGCAGGAAGGTCCAGGCTGTACCAGGCTCCTTCTTCTGAACTGGGGCCCAAGACTACAGGGCAGGAGAGGGTGGTTGGGGGAAAAAATCTTTGCCCAGAGCTCCTCACCAGGTTTGACTCTCCAAAAACATTAAGGGACCACAAGATGTTGGTGTTACTGGGTGAGTAAAGGGGTGAGGTCTCTGAGCTGTAGAAAGACCCCTACTCTGTGTTTTTTGCACAAATCAAACCCTTAGATTCAGTATGGTGATTTGGTAACACCACCTGCACCTTCACCGACTATAGGACCCAGCCAGTGGTGTAATTTTGACTAATGAGCTGCGAGGTGGTCTTCTTGTGGGCTTTGGACAGGATTTTGTTATTCTTAAAAGTAAGACCATGGGCAAACAATGAACAGTTGGAAAATGAAATTAAACAAATTCTACTTACAATGTCAGCAAGAACCATGATATATATATGTTATATATATTTAACATGGTGTTAAGACCTGTACACTGCAAGCCACTCTGCACTGTAGAGAGAAATTAGAGATAACATCAAAACCTGAAGAGAGACAGGGATGCTCAGTATGCATGAGTCATTAGTTCTCCCCAAATGGAACCATAGATTTAATGCAATCCAAGTTGAAATCCAGCAGGCTTTTTCTGTAGAAACTGGCGAGTTGGTTTCATGACTCACTATAAAACAACAGTAATGACACCATGGCACTGCTGTAAGGATAAACACATTGATCAAAGCAACAGCAGAGTCCCAAAATAGACCCACATGTGTGGGATCAATAGGTTTTTGTTAAAGGTGCCAAGGTGCCTCAGCAGAGTGAAGAAAAGTTGCTGGAATAATCATGAGTGTCCACATGGGGAAAAAAAATGAACCTTGATCCCTACCTCACACTATACATAAACTTAACCCCAAAAAGACTAAAACTGCAAAACTTTAGACGAAAATGTCAAAGAAAATCTGTGTAACTTTTGGGCAGGTTGGGGGGGCCGACTTTTTCTGAAATGGGCAGAGTGAATATCCTGGATTTGGTGGGTTGCAGGTCTGTGGCAATGACTGAACTCAATGGCTGTGGCCTGAAGGTGGTCCACACAATGAGCATGGCACTGCGCCAATAAAACTTTATTTACAAACACTGGTATCCGGGCCATGGGCCATAGTTTGCCAGCCCCTGAAGTAGGCAAATATTGCTTAGACAGGACGCAAAAGGCATTCATGAAAAACAACGAGATAAAATTGACATCAAAATCAACAAATTTTACTCTTTGAAAAGCTTGTTTCAAAATGAAAAGACAAACCACAGACTGGGAGAACATATTTGTAAAGCACGCATCCAACACAAGACTCGTATGTGGAATCTACAAGGATTCTTAATACTCAGTAATAAGACAAGCGACATAATAGACAGGGGCAGAAGACCGGAGTGGACCCTTTGAAAAGGGCCTCTTCTGTGAAGAGGCCTGGGCGCCAGAGCGGAGGGATGGGGCGCAGCTGCCTCCCAGGGACAGGGTTCAGAGCCTCCGATGGCCTGTGAGGGAGGCGGACATGCCTGACCCTAAACAGAAGCAGAGGGAAGGGGCCGCAGGGCCGGTGGGGAGCAAAAGGCAGCGCAGGGCCCGTGGCCCAGCCCCCACCTGATGGCCCCCACACGCCCCAGGGCCCCGCGCACGCCCCGCCCCGCAGCTCGTGTTGTTTCCAGACGCGCCCTCGTGTGCACGGGCAGGGCCTCCTCCCCAGGCTCAGCGGGCGTGCAGGTTGGTCGTGTGTCCGCTGGAGGCCGCTTTGCCGCGGGGCCCTCAGGGAAGGCCTCCAGCCACCTGCGCTCACCGGGATGGGCTCCGGAGGCGACGGCCGCGTGATGGTCACGACGGGGCTGGCTGGCGGGCAGGGGGTGGGGGGCTCCGTAGCCCCGTGGCTTGTCTGTGCGCTCCTTCCCCTGCCTGTGATCTCTGACTCCTCCCGCCTCTCCCGCAGCCCTCGGAGGGGAGGTCCTCCACGGCGGGACGCTGGGCCCGCGTAGGGCTGCGGAGGACGCGGTGGGGACGGAGTGGCTGCTGTGGCTGTGCCTGCCCCGTGGGTGCACGATGGGCCGGGAGACGAAAACTCACTTGCACTTGCCGTGACAACAGGCGGCAGACAGTAGGGAGACCTTGAGTCTTTGGCAAAGACCTTGTTTTCCTCGGTGTTTCCCCTCCTCACCAGTTCACAATCCCCCAGTGCCCTGGAAGCCACAGTGGAGACGCCTTTTATCCACTCACCCGCTGCACCTGGAAGCTGAGTGCTCCCTTCCACGGGCCGGAGTGGGAGAAGAGGGTAGGAATGATTCCCTTGGGGGATAAGAATCCTGGACTCAGGATTAAGGGTGAAACTGAATTGGGACACACACATTCTGTATGGTATGTGCAATGTGTAATATTGTACACGCATATGTGGGTATATGTGATGACGGACGATTCGGCCTCCCCGAGACACAGCCAAGGCCTGGAGCTCTCTCTCATGTTCTCAGGGAGCCCAGGGTGCCTGGGGGTTGTGCAGGGTGTGTAGGCATTGGTCAGCTCTACCTGGGGTCCATGAGCTCATGCTCCCCGAGATCTTAGGATGCTTTGGAAGCGCTCTCCACTGGCCGGCCTTGCGGTTGTCATCCTGACATGCTAGCCCTGCCCTGAACGCCCCCGGGGACTCTGCACCGTGGCAGTTCACGTCAGCCACGTGCTCATCCCCACCCGCCAACCCCCACACAGCCCTGGGTCTCCCGCCTTGTCTGTCTTACAGTAGTAAGTGGTACAATATTGATGCCAACAGGGGAGCATGGAACCAAGGCCAGCAAGCTCCTGTTTACACCATGAGCATTAAGCTAATGGTGTTGCCTGTGTTTCAGGGCTACACTGATTTTTAAAAATGTTTTTATAGAGACACAGTCTTGCTGTGTTGCCCGGGCTGGTCATGAACTCCTGGGCTCAAGCAGTTCTCCCGCCTCAGCCTCTGAAGGCACTGGGATGAAAGTTGTGAGCGCCCATGCGGTCCTACACTAAATTTTCTAAAGCAAAAAACCAAAACCAAATCAGAACTCAATACGTGTGTCATCTGCTTGGTGTGTCCACACTGCTGGAGGTGTCTGAACTTCTAAATAATCCACTGGGTCCAAGAACAAACCACAAAGAAAGGTAGAATACAGCGATGGGAATAAAAATGAAAACACAACATTAAAATGTAGAAGATGAAGATAGCTGTGCTTAGAGAGAATTTTCTGGCATTACATTGCAAAAGGAGAACGATCAAAATCAGTGATGCAGTTCTGAACTTAGGAAGCTGAGAAGTAGGGTGAATTTATCTAGGATTGAGTAGAAGGGAGGAAATAAAGTTAATTCACTGGTTAGATTTAGAAAACAGGAAAACAGTGAAACCAGAAAATAGGCAAACAGTAAGAAAGGTAATGAACCCAAATGTAGGTTGTTTGAAAAAAAGCCAATACAATTTGATAAACCTATAGTAGGTAAGATGAAAACAGAGGAGATATTACTGATACTGCGAATGACAGAGGGATGTCACTTCAAATCCTAGAGACAGTTAAAAGGGTCTTAGGGAACAATTTTACCATAGTCATTCAACAGAATCTTTGTAAGTCTTTAACATCTTTGGAAGACACAAATTATTAAAACTTAAGAAAAAATAGAACATCCTAATAGCCTTATAATTCTTAAAAGAATTGAATTTGTAACTTAAGAACTTCCCAAGAAGAAGTCCAGGCCCAGATGGCATCACTGGTGAATTCATCAACCATGATGGAAGAAATTATATCAATCCCACCTAAACTCTTTCAGAAAATAGAGGTGCATGGAACACTTCCCAACCAATTATGAGGCCTGTGTTGCCCTTGTTGGGGCTCAGAAAATGATACCTCAAAATAAGGATCCAAAGAAGCAGCCCTAAGGTCTATTCGAGCTCCAAAATCTCTTGACCCCTTGCCTCTTCCAAGCATAGGAGAAGGCCACTCTCCCAAGGCTCTCGTCTACCAAGAAACCAGACCCCCAAAGAGAAACAAAATTGCTTTCCATTCCTTCCCTGAAATTCCATGAACCAGAGAAGATAAAAATTCACATCACATAGGAGGATTCTGAACGTCAGACACCACATCTAGAGCCCAGGTGAACTTCCTAGAGCTCTCGTGAACTTTCTAGAGCCCAGGTGAACTTCCTAGAGCCCACACGAATTTCCTGGAGACCAGAGACCAGGTGAACTTCCTAGAGCTCAGGTGAACTTCCTGGAGACCAGGTGAACTGCCTAGAGCCTGGGTGAACTACCTGGAGCATGGGTGAACTTCCTAGAGCCCATGTGAACTTCCTGGCCCCCATGTGAACTTCCTGGAGCTCACGTGAACTTCCTGGAGCCCGGGTGAACTTCCTGGAGCCCAGGTGAACTTCCTGGAGCCTGGATGAACTTTCTAGGGCAGAAGTGAACTTCCTAGAGCCCAGGCAAACTTTCTAGAGCCCAGGCGAACTTCCTAGAACCCAGGTGAACTTCTTACAGCCCAAGTGAACTTCCTGGAACCCGAATGAGCTTCCTGGAGCAAGGGTGAACCTCCCAGAGCTCTCATGAACTTCCTAGAGCCTCCGTTTACTTTCTAAAGCCCAGGTGAACTTCCTGTAACCTGGGTGAACTTCCTGGAGACTAGGTGGACTTCCTAGAGCCAGGTGAACTTCCCGTAACCCGAGTGAACTTTTTAGAGCTAAGGTGAACTTTCTGGAGCCCAAGTGAACTTCCTAGGTCCTGGGTGAACTTCCTGGAGCCCAGGTGAACTTTATGGAACCTAGATGAATTTCCTGGAGTGTGGGTAAACTTCCTAGAGTCCACGTGAACTTCCTAGAGCCTGAGCGAATGTCCCAGAGCCTGGGCGAATTTCCTGCACCCAAGGTGAACTTCCTGGAGCCAAGGTGAACTTCCTGGAGCCAAGGTGAACTTTCTAGAGCCCAGGTGAACTTCCAAGGTGAACTTCCTGGAGCTGAGGTGAACTTCCTGGAGCCGAGGTGAACTTCCTAGAGCCCACGTGAATTTCCTGGAGTCCATATGAACTTCCTGGAGCCCAGGTGAACCTCTGGAGCCCGGGTGAACTTCCTGGAGCCCAGGTGAACTTCCTAGGGCCCACGTGAACTTCCTGGAGCCTGGGTGAACTTCCTGGAGCCCAGGTGAACTTCCTGGCACCGAGTGAACTGCCAACGTTGTCCCAAGCCATTGTTTGTTCTCAGGTTTCATTCAATTACCAGAGAATCTTTGATAACGCTGCCTCCAGGGTCCATTCACTCCCTCCTGAAAATCATTTCCTCTCACACCCCCATCTCCCCTCCCCTGTGAAGAAGGATGTGGACCTCACTGGGTTATTGGGTAATTATTCTCCTGTGATTCTCCCATGCTGTTAATGTTAAGATAAATTTCTATGCTTTTCCTCCTATTAATCCACCTTTTGTCAGTGTATTTTCTGTGAACTTTCCGAGGGTGAAGGTGGAAGTTTTCCCTCTTTGCTTCGGCATCCTGGTACAAAAACTAAAGCCATCGCACAGAAAAGAAAACGAAACACCAGGGAGTCTATGAACGTAGATGCGAAGTCCATAGCAAAACATTAGCACCTCCAATCCAGCAGAGGGCAGTCCACCCTGACTTAATGCAGATCATCTCAGGAATGCAGGGTTGGTTTCACATCTGAAACTCAATCCATGTAATTCACAGTATTAAAAAGAATGAGGGAAAGTATTCCAACAAGACACAGTATGATTACTTCAATATACACAATACAAGCATTTGATACAGTCCAGCAGCCACTCGTGAAACAAGAGGAAACAAAGCACACAGCAAACAGAAAAAGAAGGCACGTTCCTCAACTTGGTAAAGGGCGTTCATGGAAAACCTGCAGCTTTCATCATCCACAGCCTCAACCTCCAGATGTGCTTCCCCATGCCTGGGACAAGGCCAGGACCTCTGAGTTGAGTTACATTAGACTTAGGTTGCACTGGAGAGTCCCATGGGCAGCAAGGCAAGAAAATAACTCAGGCATCCATGTTGGAAAAGAAGAGGAACCACTTTCTTCTGTAGGTGCCATGATCAAGTTTATGGAAATTTTAAGTTTCAAGTTTAAGGGAAATTTTAAAGTTATTAGAACATTAGTTCTGATACTAAATTACTAATTATTGAGTTGACTTCAGGACTGCAAAACAGAATGTCAATATTCAAAACCCAAATTTCTCTGAACAAATTTTTCTACACCAGCACTGAACAGCTGGATATCACTTACAATGGCTTCAAGCAATATAAAATATGTAGGGAAAGCATTGAATAAATACGTGCAAGACCCATGCACTGAAAGCTACAAAACACTGCTGGGATAATTCAAAGGAGATTCAAAGATGTGGCGAGACGGGAGACTCAGGGGTCATGAGTTATGGTCGCCGGTTCCTTGCTCTGGACCTATTATATCCGCTGTATTATTGCGGTGCCCACACCTATTTTATGCATGCAAAGCAAGGACAAAATTAGGATGACCCTATCCATACTGCAACAAAACAAAGTACAGCTGGAGGTGGAACGAGGTTTTATGCAGAGCCCATTGTGTGAGATGTCTGCTGCTTGGTATCACTTGGTATTTTATAAGACTTCACATTGGTTCAACTGGCTCCAGGTTTCTTAGCCCATGATTCCTTGCTGGGCTCCAGCGGTTTTTCGGCCTGTTTTAGAGAAGTGCCTTGGCTGCAGTGGATTTGAGCATTTTTGTAGGAATTGGAGTGAAAGTGCAGCCACTTGCATTTCTGAATGGTCACATGGAGCCCAAGGTAGAGGCAATTTTACCACTGGTGCAGAATGATCATTAAGACCACATCCCTTGAGGGACACCCCACTTCCTCCAACGTTCCAAGTTCCCTCCTACACTTTGTGCACGTGAGAGCTGCCTGGGCCTGGCCGGGCTTAGGGGTGGGGTGGTGGGATGGGCTGTCATGGGCATGGTGCCTGGCCCCTCCCCTGAGCCTGCAGCTTCCACGTCTGCCTGCTCTGCTCACTCCCTGCTACCTCCAGGCTGTCATCTGTTGTTTGAGGTTGGGGTTCCTTGTTTTCTGGGTTGTCAGGGAGGGTGTCAGTCCATTGGGCCAGGAGCAGACCAGCTGCACAGGATGGCGGCCTGTCACAACGTCAGGGACTGGCCTGGCTTTGGAAGCGTGGCTGACAGCCGGCGGGGCTGTGTTTGCAGGACGTGGAGGCTGGGGTGTGGGGAGCCCCGCACAAGGCATGTTCCAGTTGCTCCGGTGGGATGTGACGTGGTTACACCAGGGGAGTGGGAGGAGGTGGGTGCGGCGGGGAGGGGGTAGAACAAGAGAAGTCACTTTGGAGGGAGAGAAGGGCTTCGTGGCTCAGGCGTCTGAAAGGTCAGGAAGAGCCATGTAGAGTAAGAGGGACAAAGAGGAGAGAGTCTGTCTCAGTCCATGGGACCCCTGATGGAGAACGGAATTGCACCATGGCTGCCTGGGCAGGGACCAGCATCATGGTTCTGTCTCATGTCTGGACCCCTGTGTCCTCATGCTGCCTGCAGTGGGTGGATTGCAAACACTCCTTTGCCTAGGCGCTGTGTGAAAAGTCCAGTGGAAATCTTGATTCAGCAGAAGTGCCTTCATAACGGGCCCATAAGTCCTCCTGGAAATCTTTACCATACGTAAACCCAGACATGGCACCACAGGCAATGGCCCGATCAGGCCTCAGAGGAGTGCTTGCAGCTGTGGTTCCGGCTTCAGGAATTCCTAAAATTTACAGTGGCATTTCAGGCCTTGTGCTGTTGGGCCGCTGGATTATTTTATTTGTTAAAGAATGTATTTCTGTGTGCTAGCTCTGGCTTAATTTCTTGTTATTTTGGAAAGTTGGACATCTTAATTTTCCTTTAATTGCATTGGCACTGTGAGTGGATGGGATAAACTATTAGCAGCGGTGGCGGGTCGTGGCTGTCTGGCTGTCGTCCCTGCTGTGTGTGCTGTTGGGGCACCGCATTACTGCTCTGGGTCCTCTGTGTAATGCATCAGGTTCCTGTGGGTGCCGTAACCAGTGACTCTTACTCAGCCACAGCAGCTCACATTCATCGCCCACGGCTCTGTGGGCCAGGAGTCAGGGGCTGCACTGGGTCCCCTGCTAAGGGTCTCACAAGGACGAAATCGAGGCGTTGACTGGGCTGGGCTTTATCTGGGGTCTCTGAGAAGGGAACCTGCTTCCAGGGCCATCCAGGGAGTGTGCAGAGTCCAGTCCTTGTAGTGCAGGACAGGGGTCCCCCTTCCTCGCCACTCTCAGCCTCTCAGCCCCGTGAGGCCGTCTGCACTCCCCATCATGTCCCCTTCCCCACCCGACGTCTTCAAATCATCAGGAGTGGCTTGAGACCTTCTATCGCTTCAAACCCTCTGCAGTCCCTTTCTGCAGACTCTCTTCCGTGTCTGCTTGGAGAAGCTTCCCTGCATTCCAGGGTTCATGTCATTGCCCTCTGCCTGCTGGATAGTCCCAGATACTCCCCCTGTTTTAAGGTCAGTAACCTTATTTGCATCTGTAAAGCCCATTTTGCCATGGGACAGCATTTGCTCACAGGTTGTGGGGACTGGAGTGTGGGCGTTTTGGGGGGCATTTATCCCAGGGCAACGGGCAGCCCTGATATCAGAACCGGAGAGAGGCAGCAGCTGCCCTGAGGCCCAGGAGTTAAGAGGGGGATTGGGCTCCCAGCGTGGCAGAGCTCAGAGGAGAGCACTCCCCGGTAGGCACGCAGGCCCAGAGGGCAGGGGAGTGTGACTCGGAGGTCTTGAGCCCCAAGGCCAGGCTCCAGCGGTGACATGAGACCTGGCAGAAGCTGGAGCCGGTCGGGTGCTGGAATGGAGGGTGGCTTTCCTCTCTCCCACCTTCCAGGTCTCTGCCAGTGCTGCTGTTTGGCAGAACCTTCTGGAACTTCCCTGCTGGTGGTGATCTGGGAAAGGTTTGCAGATCTCAGTTCCAGAATCCCAGAGCAGAATATGGAAGCGGGGACTCCGTGGGAATATTCAAGCCACATGCCCTCCGAGAAACCCTCAGACTGGGAGATTCTGGGACTGTAGATAGTATTTATTCTGTAGACAGCATTTTTATCACTGAGAATACTTGACAACATTCTGCACATGGCGAGTGAGGAGGGGTGGCTCAGGGTGCACCCAGGGTGTGTGTTTGGCACTGGGTCTTTGCATCCTGCAGCTGGGGCCTGACTTGGTCCTGCAGGCGGTCGGGAGTTGCTGCCACCCCGAGGTCGCTTCCCAGAGGGCGGAAGGCTGTGGAGAAGTGTGGACGAAACCCAGTTTCTCCATTTAGATGCCGTTGTGTAAACTGTGCTTGCATATCAGGGGATATGTAGATTCCAATGAGTTTATCAAAAGCAGGACATACATTCTGAGGTGCAGAGCAGATGGCGTTCTACTGAAATAGGCAGGGGAGTTGATGCCAAGCCATGCCCAGGTCGTACTGACAGGTGGCATGGGTGAGATGGCTCCCGGGAGCTCCGTGGAGACTGCAGGGTGGGCGAGGGACACAGGTAATGAGGGGCCTTCGAAGAGGCCATTGCACACAGTCTCACAGTCTAGGCTTTGTCCCTACCCCACGTGGAGTGCATTTTCCAGGACGTGTGGAACAGAAAAATCCATGCGATGTTTGCCTTGAGAACAGCTTATTCTTATTTATATTTTTATTTATAGAATAGCTATTTTTCTACAAAAACATGATTTTATTTTATCATGGAATCACAATGTTATTTATAAGGGATAACTTCATGGGGAGCCGTGGATAGAGGCCTGCAGCTGGTGGTGTTCATCATATAACTGATTGATGGGAATTTGCGTAGAAAGTCCGAACATTGTTTCAAAAGTGAGCCAAGGCAAGCTGTGTAGACAAGATAGTTTTGTTGTGTTCTTGGGGGAATATCCAGCGTTCATCAATGGCCCTGGAGCACCTGGCAGAGACTGTCAGCCCTGAGTGGCCAGCAGAGACTGTACCGCAGCCACGGGGAAAGGAGCCATTAGACTCAGCATCTTCCGTTCCCACTTGGTAATCTGCCCGGTCCTGGCAGGAAATAGGTTAACCATGGCCAGGGAAGGACCAAGGCCGCCCCGATGGGCATCACCCCACCTGCCTGGAGGCAGTCGCCACCCGCAGCTCTGCCCCCACCCTCCTGGTACGGTTTGATGTGTCCTCTCCAAGTCTCCTGTGGAAACATGGCCTCCAATGTGGAGGTGGGCCATGGAGCAGATCCCTCATGAATAGCTTGGCACCGTCCTTGCCATGGGAGCTCATGCGCAATGTGGTGGTTTAAAGAGCCTGCTACCTGCCCCTGCTTGCTCCCGCTCTCGCCCTGTGACGCGCAGGCTCCCTTCACCTTCCACCACCAGAGGAAGCTTCCTGAGGCCTCACCAGGAGCCACTGCTGGCGTCAGTTTTCCTGCATAGTCTGCAGCACGGTGACCAGTTAAACCTCCTTTCTTTACACTTCACCCAGCCTGGGGTGTTCTTTCATAGCAATGTGAAAATGGACTGGCACAGGCCTTCTGGGTGCCGCCTGACAAACCCAAGCCAAGCCCCAGCCGGAGCCCGCGGTGGGAGTGGGCCGGGCAGGTGGGGCTTGGGGCAGAGGGTGCAGGGCGGGAGTGTGTCCAGGTGGAACCAAGTTTCCAGCGCCACCCAGGGGTTGCCGTGGCACCAGTGGGCGTCTGTGGCTTTCCGATGGTCCCTACGTAGGGACCAGGCACAACAGCTCTCAGATGCACCACGAGGCCTGATGGGATTTGCACAGGTGCGGGGACACTGTGGCCAAAATGGCTTCAGATGATCTTTTTCAGGAAAATATTGTCTCAGCAGTTTGCAGCACCCGTGGACCATGGTCACCCCTGACCCGTTTTACAGACCTCACTGACTGTGAGGGGATGAGTGTGATCTGAACTAGGAAGTGTGGGTGAAATGAGCATGCACGCGTGTGTGTGCGTGTGCGTGTGGGTGTGCGTGTCTGTGCATGTGTGTAAGTGTGCATTGTGTGTGTGTGCATGTAAGTGTGCATGTGTGTGTGCTTTGTGTGTGCGTGTGAGTGTGCCTGTGGGTGTGTGTGCGTGAGTGTGCATGTGTGTGAGTGTGCATTGTGTGCGTGCATGTAAGTGTGCATGTGTTTGTGTGCTTTGTGTGTGCGTGTGAGTGTGCCTGTGGGTGTGTGTGCGTGTGTGTGCATGTGAGTGTGCTTGAGTGTGTGGCCATGGCCGTGGAGGGAAGTTCATGCCAGTGAGCTGGGCTGTCCCGAGACGCCTTTAATGTCAGGACGCACGGGGTCTGTAGCTCACCCGTTACCCACTCCACATGGGCTTTGCTGAGATAGGCAGCTAACTTCACTTTTTTTTTTTAAATAACAACAACAACAAAAACAGTGTCTCACAATGTACTTTTATTATGCAAAATCAAAACTCACCCACAGTACTAAGGGAGTTTAAGGCTTTCTAAGGAGATGGGAAAGGACAAACCCGCGGGACAGACAAAAAGACAAAAGGAAAATGGAAGCGTGTGTGGGAAGCAGAAGGGCAGCCCCCGGAAGGGAGCACCGAGTGCGGTGCGCCCAGACCCCCGTGCGCCCAGACCCCCATGTCCCTAAACCCCAGGGTGCACAAACCCCAGTGCCTAAACCCCAGAGCGTCTAAACCCCCGTGTCCCTGAACCCCGGACTTAGCTGTTCTTTAAGCTTCCCTATTTCAACAAACTTCCAAACAATTTTAGTGGAGTTTTATATTTACAGGATGACGGAGAAGAAGGCAGAGTCCCGTGGACCCCACGCCCACGTCCCCGTACTGGTGCCTGTGTCGTAACTGACCAGCCCACACTGATCACTGATCCGTCATCATCGACAGGACAATATTTCATTCCGCTTTCTTGGTTTTCTCCGTCTTTCTGTGCCAGCCCCGCCTCTGGGACTACATGTGGCGTTTAGTCACCCGACCCCTGGGGCTGCCCTTGGCTGGACGTTTCTCAGGCTTTCCTTGTTTCCGACGACCTTGAGGGTTTTGAAGGGCTCTGTTAGGAACTCCGCGGAACGCCCCTCTTGGGGTTTGGGTTTTCTCGTGCACCGACAGGACCATCCCTGAGCCCGAGCTGGATCACGTGCTGGGCTCTCCTCGCCCGGCGGTAAATCTGTCCAGAGCTTCTTTCTGTCCGTGTGGACTTGCGGATGCTTCCGTTACACCTCGGGTTACCGCCCAGCGCTGCTCTGTTTTCCCGTTCAAATGGTTCCAGCGTTGGCCTCGGGAGCGCTTTTCACGAGCCCCGTGTCCTCGCGGCGAGCCCCGTCGTTGTGGTGTGTGTTTGTGCATCTCCTCGCTTTCTGACACTACAGGTACTTCCAGTGTCTCCAGCTCCGATCCGTCGGTCGCCCCATGGATCGTTCTGGCCCCGCCCTTTGCCCCTGCAGCCCCACCCCCCACCTCAGTGAAAAACCCACGCCCCCACCTGCCGTCCATTCACGTCGCCGCCCAGATGCAGCGTCCACGGGTAGAGGTTTCAGAATTTCACACGGTGTTTCCGTTTACTGTTTGCACGTGTGTGTGACGCGGAGGCGATGGGAAGCATTCTGTTTATCTGTGGCCTGGGGTGAGGCTCCCCGTGCAGGGCCATCTGCCCGTGGGCCTGCCCAGACCTGGGCTTACCGTCCTGGAACGGAGAAAGGAATCATGAGCAGTGGTTCCGGGAGGCTGGGAGGGGCGAGGCCGGGGAATGGGGCTGGGGCAGGGGAGGAGGTCACGTGCTGTCTTCATAGGCTTTGGTATTTGAGGCACGTGGCTTGTTACTATTTGAGGATAAAATTTGAAAACCGTAGCACGAAGGACTTAGGTTAGACATCGGAAAGCACTTCCTGGCAGTGGCTACGGGGCAGCTTTCTGAGCTTTTCCTAAGCCACCCTGTCACTGTGAGGGGGAATTTCCTCAACCTGCCCTCCAGCGAAAGCCTCCACCTCATGGCCAACCCCCGAGGGCGGCTTCCGGGGCTTGCCCTGCTGTGGATGAGGCCAGCTTTGCTCCCCACTCTCTCTGGACTGCGTGGGGAGTGACTCCTGGACTGTCTGCAGCCTCCTGGACCCTGGCTCCGAGTCAGATGAGGGTTCTCATCTGGTTCTTGCAGAGTCTCCTGCTGAGCCTGGTCTTCTGTCCACACCTGGGTGGTGGAGGCCGCCCCAGGAGCCTCTTTCTCCCCCTGCATGGGAGGCCGGGTCTGCTCAGCCAGCGCCCTCACCTGCGGTCGGTGAGCTGTGCACGGGGAAGCAGAGCCTGGCGGCCACGTCGGCCTCCTGTGAGAGGGTCGAGGGCTCCAGCCCCGAATGGGACTTGAGCAGTGCTTCGACGTGTCTGTGTGTGTTCATGTGTGTGTCTGTGTGGTGTGTATGTCTGTGTCTATATGTGATTGTGTGTCTACGTGTGATCATGTGTGATTGTGTCTGTGTGATGTGTGGGTCTGTGTGTGATAATGTGTAATCGTGTGTGTCTCTGTGTGTGTCTGTGTGTGATGTGTAATCATGTGTGTCTCTGTGTGTGTGTGTGATTGTGTCTGTGATGTGTAATCATGTGTGTCTCTGTGTGTGTGTGTGATTGTGTCCATGTGTGATCATGTGTCTGTGCATAATGATGTGTGTGTCTTGGTGTGTGATGGTATGATTGTGCATGTGTCTGTGTGTGATTCTGTGTGTGTGATGGTGTCTGCACATGTGATTGTGTCTGTGTGTGATGTGTGACCGTGTCTGTGTGGCTGCACGTGTATGTGTCTATGTGTGTATGTGTGATGGTGTGTCTGGTGTGATGGTGTGTGATTGTGTGTGCGTGATGGTGTGTGAGTGACTGCATGTGTGTGATGGTGTGTGTCTGTGTGTGATTGTGTGTGATGGGGTGGATGTGTGATTTTGTGTGATGGTGTGTCATTGTATGTCTGTGTGACTGTACGTGTGTGTGAGGTGGGTGAGCAGGGCTGTGGGGCACAGGGCAGAGGAGAAAGGTTGCATGTGGGGGTTGATCCCTGGCTGGAGGAGGCTGGAGAAGCCCTGGTGGGCAGGGACGCGGTGGCCTCTCCGGACCCCTTTGCTGCAGCATCACAGAAGGAGACGCAGTCTCTGTCCGGCTTGTGGGCACGGAGCTCCCACTCTGGATCTTCTCACTCTTCGATGCTAAGGGAGCGGCTCCCGGAGGGTGGGCTGGTTGCCAGTAGAACCGGTGCGGGTCAGCCCGGCGCACCCAACCCCACCCCACCCGAGAGGGAGAGGCCCGGATGGGGTCAGTCCCCAGAGGCCTGTGGCCTAATCGGTCATGTCTGGAACCCCATAAAAAACCCCAAATGAGGGTCCAGGGGCCTGCATGGCAGTGACCATGGTGGTTCCCGGAGGTCCCCCAACCTCTCTTGTGCCTGGCGTGTGCCTCTCCCAGGCGGGTGACAGTGAGGCGCCTCCACGTCCTGGGAGCTGTTCTGCTGAATCTGGAAGCCGGGGGCCAGGGGTGCTCCATGTACCGTGGGTGTTGGAAGTGGGGGCGTCTTGTGGGCTCAATGCCTGTGGAGAGTGGGTGAGCCCTCCCTGGGCCGGGTGGGAGTTGAGGACTTACTGGTGTGAGAAGAAACCTGTACAGCCGCGGTCAGGGGGCCGTGGGGAGAGCAGCACCGGGGACCCCACCTCACAAGGGGGACGGAGGCAGAGGGAGCCAGGGGAGGCAGGAGCCCTGGCTTGGGGTGTGCTTTGGGTGAGGTCCTCTCATCTCTTATGTGCCCCCTCATCCTCGCTGGCCCTAACTCCAGTTCCCAAATTGCTCTGAGGGAGGACTAAAGTTCCAGAAAGGCTGTGTGAGCCAGCCACCAGTGCCAGCACGAAGCTGCGGGGACCACAGCACCCCTTGTCCTGGGAGGTGCCTGCTCCCCCACAGCCTGTCCCCCCGAGAGGAGCCAGGCTCCCCCCATCTCCCATGCCCTTAGAGGAGCCACGCTCGCCCCAACCCCCATCCTTCCTGGAAGGAGCCGTGCTCCTCCTATCCCCCGGAATCCTCCTTAAGAGAGGCCATGATCCTCGGTCCTCCTGTCCTCCCTGAAAAGGGCTGTGCTTCCCCTGTCTCCATCTTTCCTGACCACAGGTGCTCCACCTGGCCTGTGCTGGAGGCTGGGAGGGTGGGCCTAAAGGGGGAGTCTGTGTGAGGGAAGCGTGTCCCTGTGTGTGTGTGCATGAATATGTGCACACATGCGGCTGTGTGGGTGTGTTTCTCTGTTTCTGTGTGCATGGGTCCGTGCATGAGCACAGGTGTGCATGTGTGTGTCTGTGTGCATGGGTCCGTGTGCGAGCACAGGTGTGCATGCGTGTGTCTGTGTGCATGGGTCCGTGTGTGAGCACAGGTGTGCATGGGTCCATGTGTGAGCACAGGTGTGCATGTGTGTGTGCACACGTGTCTGTGTGCGCATGCTGTCTCAGGGCTTGTCTGTGCGTACAAGTGTCTTTCTGTGTTTCATGGTTGTGTGTGAACACACGTGTGTGTCTGCATATATGCCTGTGTTTTCCCGTGTCTGTGTGTGCGTGTGTTTGGGGTGGGTAAGGCTCCATTGTTTAGGACGTGTGTGACCTGCCTCGCCATCTCCCCTGCCATCCTCTTGGGTCATTCTTGCACAACAGTGACCTGCTGTTTGGAGCCGAATGGGCACAGTGAATAATGCGTTTCATTTATTTTCACAAACCTGTGGTTGCAAAGCCAGCGTGAGACGCAGGTGAGGCCGTCACACCCCTCGTCCTGGCGGAATCCACGCCTCCTTGGGCCCCTGCTGCCAGGACCCCACACCTCTTTAGAGTAAATAAACCTTGGCGTAGGGGCAGTTTACGGAAACGAGAGAATTGTGTAACCATCGACCCTGTGGACAGGTTTGACTCTTGGGTTTGAAGAACCACGGTGACGTCTTCCTGATGCCGCTGCCTCCTCTTGTCAGTGAAGGGAGTGGGACTCGCCGGAGAAAGAAGCGAAGGCTCCAGCCCCGGCTGGATGAACCCTGCAGCTGGTCCTCACCGTCTCGGGAGGCAGCTCCGGCTTCTGTCCACTAGGTGGAGCGCTTGCTGTTTGCGATGAAATCGTGGAGCCTTGAAAATTCCCAGGCTGGCGAAAGGCTAAGGGGCATTGGGGGTCAGCAGGCGGGGCCCGTGCTGGTTGGAGCTGCTGGGGCTGAGATGGAATGGCGATGCCATTGGGGTATTCCCTGTGGGAATGCAGCTGCCGTCCGCAAGCCCCCGCGACCTTTCTCCAGGCAGAATGTGGAGCCCCGAGTGGGGTTAGGGCCGTGTGCTGCAGGGCGGGGCCTCGCCTGGTCGCGTGGCAGCCTCGAGGTTTGTTGCAGGTGATGGGGTGAGGAGCAGCTGGGCCCCACTAGCTCTTGGCCGCATTGTCCCTCCTTTCACCCCCAGAAGTTACCCCTGCACTGTAAACCCCATGGGGCATTGAGCCTCCTATTTTCTTCTCCTGCTTCACAAGTTTAGAGTGTTTGCTTAAATGCAATGCTTAAAGCCGCCCAGATGTTTGAGAAAATAAGTTTAGTGAGAAACAGGAGGCTTCACCTCAAAGCATTTAAGGCTGCTGTGAGAAATTATCCCCATCCTTAAAAGCCTCCAGATGTTTGAAACTCCTGTTTTGTGTAAAATAACAGCAACAAATAAGTAAAAACAAAAACCTCCATACCGACTGCATTCCTTTCAAGTGTTTAACTGTTTAACTTCAAAGTCAGAAGTGCCCTAAACTCAAAAACGGCACCAACAACTACTTGAGTGGGACTCTTTTGTTTGCAGTCATCAGGAACTCAATTCAAGCTGATAAAAGCCAGAAAAAGAATGTCATTGAAGGGGCAGGGGTTGTTGATGTATGCAATTACTAACTGCAAAGGGGCATTCAGGAATGGGTGGATCTAGGGGCTTCAGTGGTCTCTATCTCTTACCCATGCCTTCCTCTGAAATGAGTCCCCCAGATTTCTCCTCCTGCCAGCTCCTGGCAGCCACGGTCATTTCTTTGCAGCCTCAAGTCTACTCTGAGATTTCCTCTTCCCAGCAGTTCAAACAGGAGCCTCTGATTGAGACGCTGGCACTGGCTGGGGCCTTGTGCCCACCTCTGAGCCCATCACTGCAGTGGGGCATTGGGTGCTCTCATCGGCCAGGCCTGGGTCACGGGACCATCTTGGAGGGCAGGGTGGGGCAGCCCACGGAGCCCAGGCTGCGTGTCTCCGGAAGAGAATCGAGGTGGGACTCGGGAGGGAAGGGTGCTGGGCAGGGAAGGTAGGGAGTGCTCAGGAGCGCTTCAGCGGAAGGACCTGGAAATGGCTCTGGCTGTCTGTGGTCAGTTTCCTGCTCCTTGCACATCCAGAGAAGGAAAGGACTTTTTTTCTTGAGATGGAGTTTCACTCTTGTTGTCCAGGTGGGGGTGCAATGGTGAGATCTCGGCTCACTGCAACCTCCGCCCCCTGGGTGTGGGTGATTCTCCTGTCTCAGTCTCTGTGGTAGCTGGGATTACAGGCAGATGCCACGATGCCCAGCTAATTTTTGTATTTTTAGTAGAGACAGGGTTTCACCATGTTGGTCAGGTTGGCTTCCAACTCCTGACCTCAGGTGATCTGCCTGCCTCGGCCTCCCAAAGTGCTGGGATTACAGGCGTGAGCCACTGCGTCCAGCCAGGAAAGGACTTTTTTAAGCTTTGGATTACAAGAATGGGTGATGATCTCTCTCGGCTTGCCTGGCATCATTTTGAGACAGGGTTGTCTGTTAAACCTTTTTAAATACAAATAAGATGCATATTAACGTTTAAGGAAATCTAATGTTTTCCACGATATGACTTTGAGAACCTTAAGCTCTTGCGTGTATGTTTACCGGGGACGGGACCGTGCCCTTTGTGGAAGCCCAAGCCTCACTGTGATGACATCTGGAGTGGGCCTTTGGGAGGTGATTTGGGTTAGATGGGGTCATGAGGGTGGGGCCACATGAGGGGATTCGTGCCATCCTAGGAAGAGGAGGAGACCAGAGCTCGCTCTCCACCGCCCTGGCCAGGAAGCCGCCCTAGCAAGAACCCGTCCCGGCCGGCCCGACCTCAGACCCACAGCCGCCAGATTGTGAGCAATGGAGGTCTGTGTGCGCCCCCTCTGTGGTGGTGGTTACAGCAGCCCCTCAGACGGAGAGTGAAGAGTGTTTAGCTGGTTCTCCGGGAAGCAGCGCCTGAGATACAGGCTCAGGGCTGCCGGCTCAGTCGGGAGTGAGGCTCAGGGGAAAGGGGTGGGGGAAGAGCAAGGTGGGTGTAGGGGGCAGGCGAGGGAGAAGGGGGGAGAGGGAGGGGAAGGGGAGGGGGGAGGAGAGGGAGAAGGGAGGAACCGAGGGGACGGGGGGCTCAGCGCACGGGGGCATCTTCCAAATGGCCACATAAATGAGTGCAATTCCGGGTCCACCCGAAGGTGCGGGGGGAGGTTCCTCTCCCGGTTCCACCTCACACGGGATGCTGTTTCCCCGCACGCGGCTGCTCCTGGAGGGTGAGAAGGGGTTGCAGTGGTTCCGCTCAGGGCCAGGTGGGGCAGGAGGCCGGACCCCTGTCTTGGTGGACGCTCGGCCGCAGCCCTCTGTTGTGGCCTCAGCAGCGACTCCAACCGAATCTGTGGCCAGAGGCTGTGGGGAGTGGAAGCTGGAGGACCCAGGCTCGAGGGCGTCTGACCCAGGGAGCCCGCAGCAGGCAGGTCACCCCGACTTGTGGCCCCGTGATGCTGCAGGGACCCCAGCTGTGGGAAAAGCCACGCTACTGTCCCCCAGAGCAGAGGACCAAGTGCTCAGCTGCACAGCCCGGCCGGGGGTGCTCGGCCGCCGTGTCTGCAAAGGCCTGGAGCAGATGTACCCAGGCCCCAGGGAGGAGCCGGAGGTGCCCAGGCTGTGGGGAGGAGCCGGAGGTGCCCAGGCCGGGGGGAGGAGCCAGATGTGCCCAGGCCGGGGCTGTCCTGAGGTCTCCGCTGGCCCGTCGCTGTCCTCTCTCTCCTGTGCCGGGGTGGCTGCCCTGCAGGCTCCAGTGAATATAATTTTCTCTTGGCTTAGCTGCATCCTGCAGTTTTGATGTGTCTTTTCTTCATCACCATTTATTCAACACATATCCAAATTCTGCTATGATTTCTTTTGGCCACTGGATTATTTAGAAGCATATTCTTTAATTTCCAGGAAGTTTAGCATTTTTTAGTATTTTTTTTCACTTCTAAGTTTACTGAGGTCAGAAAATATGCTCTGAATTTTAAATTTAGATCCTTTGAAATTATTTGAGGCTTTCCCTATGTCCCAACATATGGAAATTTTGGTGAATGTTATGTGTACACTTAAGAAGAAGAGGAAGCAAGCCATTTTGGATACAAGGTCTGAGGCAGAACAATTGGGCCGCTCTAGTTGATTATGTTGCTCAGGTCTTCCTTATCCTGACTAATTTTATGTTATCCCAGTTACCGAGAAAGGCACGTGACAATTCCCCTATGCTTGTGGATTTTTCTCTTTGTATTTGGCTCTCATTACTCTTAGTAGGGTGCTCCAAGGTGGGATTTACATGTATCCCCCTTGGGATTTGCTGATCTTCATGAATCTGTGGATTAAGGTCTTCCAACAGTTTTCAAAGATTCCCACCCATTATCGTTTCAAATATTTCGTCTGTCCCATTAACTCTGATCTCTCTCTGGGATTATGCATATCTCAGACCTATTGACTATGTCTCATCTGTTATTTTTTTCCTTTCTGGATTTTCTATTTATTTTTTCCCATTCCTTTCATTTGAGTATTTTCTATTACTTCTGTTGAGGTAGTTTATAATGACTTGCATTTATGTTTACAAATTCTATCTTCTGCTGTGTTCAATTTTTATTAAACCCACCAATTTCATTCTTAATTTCAGATATCATACTTTTCAATTCAAGAACGTCTGTGTTATTATTTTAACGTTTCCATTTCTTTGTCGGAATCCCTCATTTTCCCATCTCTTGTGACTGAGCTCATTCATCACAGCTGTCTTTAAGGTCCTTCTCTGGCAACACCATTTTGGATCATCCGTGGGTCCCTTTCTGCTCTTTCTTTCCCTCTTTGTTATCAGTCACATGGTCTTTATTCTTGACACACTCTGGTCATGTGTACCGAATGCTGAAGCTGGTGAATTATCATAACAGCAGTGCCCTGGTGGTTCCAAGCCATGTTGTCTTTAAGCATAAAGTGCTCACCGTTTCCTCTTCTGAGGAATGGATTGAGGCCTGATCATTCTCGGTGGAGGATGGAGCCTGGTGAGAGTGAACTGCACTTTCTGTTGCACTGAGGCTCACCCAAGCTTGTCTTGCCCCTCGGGGTGGCTTCCCAGGGCTCCCAATCCAGAGCCTGGTGGCTCCCTGTCTCCCCAGTACTGGAACAAGCAGGACAGAGAGGCAGGTGCTCAAGGGAGGGAGACATGGGTGTTCAACGGGGAGAGACATGGGGGTGTGGAGGAGAGAGGTGTGAGTGTGAGATGTGGTCATGCACAGGAGGAGGCTGCCCTGCTGCAGGACAGGCATCCACCTCCTCTTGATCCTCCCCTTTCCAGGGAAGAATGGGATCGACATGTCCTCTTTCTAGGGATAGGAGGGGGTGGAAATCTTTTTGACGCTGCAGGAAGCTTAGAGTGGCCATCCCTTTGTTCGCCTGGGGTGAGGGTTTTTGCGGAAAGGAGACATCAAGTGTCTTGGTGTCCGATTGATTGGACACGCTATTGGCCTGTTATTTACAGTACTTCTTTACATCTACCCCTTAGGATCATTTTTCTCCTCCCCATGGGTACGTGTCCTCAACCTTGGCAAAATAAACTTTCTAAAGTAACTGAGACAGGTCTCACAGCCTCAGGAGGCCCTGATAACATGCTGAAGGCAGTCGGAGCACAGTTTGGTTTTATACATCGTAGACACGAGACATCAGTCAGCATATGTAAGATGAACATTGGTTTGATCTGGAAAGACGGGAAGACTGGAAGCAGGGAGGGGGCTTCCAGGTCATAGGTAGATAAGAGACAAATGGTTGCATTATTTGGAGTTTCTGATGAGCCTCTCCAAAGGAGGCAGTCAGATATGCATTTATCTCAGTGAGCAGAGGGGAGACTTTGAAGAGAATGGCAGGCAGATTGGCCCTAAGCAGTTCCCAGCTAGAATTTTCCCTTTAGCTTAGGAATTTGGGGGCCCAAGGTTTGTTTTCCTTTCACACCTGTTAGGCATTTGGGCTGTTTCTACCTTTCGTCGGCTGTGAATAATGCTGCCATGAACATATGTGTAACTTCTGCCATGAACATATGTGTACCTGCTGCCATGAACATATGTGTACCTGCTGCCATGAACATACGTGTATCTGCTGCCATGAACATATGTGTACCTGCTGCCATGAACATACGTGCACCTTCTGCTGTGAACATACATGTATCTGCCACCATGAACATATGTGTACCTGCTGCCATGAACATACGTGTATCTGCTGCCATGAACATGTGTACCTGCTGCCATGAACATGTGTACACACTTTGAGGCATGAGGAAGAACAGTGAGCAAACTGCTGAACCGTCTGCCTTCAGGGGCCACACATGACAAGCCTGACCCTAGACACCACCAGCAGTGCACACGTGAGGATGATGGGCAGACATGGCAGGGTCAGGGCGAGAGTGGCAGTGGAGGGCAGGGAGAGTGGCAGGGAAGCCTGTGAGGGGCAGATGTGGAGAAGGAAGGCAGGGGTCTGCAGCTCTTGGGGGGTGCCTAGGGGCACTCGATGTGAGGGGCAGCTAGGACGGGAGGTGGAGAGTGTCGAGGGAGCTGGCCCAGGCAGTGGATGTCATCAAAGACCCCCAGGAGCACAGGTAGGGCTCACCCAGGGCTGGCTGGGCAAGGGCCTGGCCACATTGTTTGTGTTGGACAGTGACTTGAAGGCAGCTGGGCTGGGGAGCTTCACAGTGGAACAGACAGCCCTGGCGTACCCTGGTGGAGGCTGTGGCTCTGGGGAGCGGGGGCGGCCTACGGGCTTGGTAATGGAGCACATGTGGCTTTCCCAGCTTGGTCTTGAGTTGAAAGGCGATGAGGAGTCCAACTCAGGAAGCCACAGTCATTGACCAAGTCCTGGCTGTCTGGGATACGGTAATGTGGCCCACAGCTTAGCGTCACTGCACTCCAGCCTGGGCGACAGGGTGAGATCCTGCATGTGAGTCTGTTCTTGCATTGCTATAAAGAAATACTGAGGCTGGGTAATTCATAAAGGAAAGAGATTTAATTGGCTCATGGTTCTGCAGGCTGTACAGGAAGCATAGTGCCAGCCTTTGCTTCTGGGGAGGCCTCAGGGAACTTCCAGTCATGGTGGAAGGCAGTGGGGAGGCAGGATTACGTGGTGAGAGCCGGAGGGTGGGTGGGAGCAGACTCTTAAACAACCGAAGCAGTGGGGAGGCAGGATTACATGGTGAGAGCCGGAAGGTGGAGGGAGCAGACTCTTAAACAACCGAAGCAGTGGGGAGGCAGGATTACGTGGTGAGAGCCAGAAGGTGGAGGGAGCAGACTCTTAAACAACCAGCTCTCCCGAGAACCAACCGAGCAGGAACTCACTCATCGCCCAGGCCGTGGTGCTAAGCCATTCACGAGGGATCTGCCCCCATGATCCAACACTTCCCACCAGGCCTCACCTCCAGCACTGGGGAGCACATTTCAACGTGAGATGTGGAGGGCACTCATCTAAACCGTATCACTCCGTCTCTAAAAAACAACAGGAGTTTATTCTCGCTTTTGGAGACCAGAAATCTGAGATCAAAATGTTGGTGGCCTCACTCCCTTCCCAGGCTTGAGGAGAGAAGCCTTCCTGCCTCTCTTAGCTCCTGGTGTCCCGAGGTGTCCCTGGGCCTGTGTTTTTGTGCCTGCATTGCTCCCATCTCTGCCTCTGTTCATGTGCCCTCTCCACTTTCCTCTCTCTTCTCCTGTTCTGTCTGTGCCAATATCCCTCTTCCTTTCTCTTATAAGGACACCAGTCAGTAGATTTAGGGTCCACCAGGGCAACCCAGTGTGATCTCATCTCAACATCCTTCACTTAATTACATCTGCAATGACCTGATTTCCAAATAAGGTCACATTCACAAGTACTGAGGTGTATTAGCGCGTTCTCATGGTGCTATGAAGAAATACCCAAGACTGGGTAACTTATAAGGAAAAGAGGTTTAATTGACTCACAGTTCTGCATGGCTGGAGAGGCCTCAGGAAACTTACAATCATGGCAGAAGAGGAAGCAAGCATGTCCTTCTTCATATGGCGGCAAGAAGGAGAAGTGCCCAGCAAAAGGAGGAAAAGCCCCTTATAAAATCATCAGATCCATTAGGCATGGTGGCTCAGGCCTGTAATCCCAGCACTTTGTGAGGCTGAGGTGGGCAGATCACAAGGTCAGGAGTTTGAGACCAGCCTGGCCAACAAGGTGACACCCTGTCTCTACTAAGAGTACAAAAATTAGCCAGGCATGGTGGCGTGCACCTGTAATCCCAGCTACTTGGGAGGCTGAGGCAGAAGAGTCACTTGAACCCAGGAGGTGGAGGTTGCAGTGAGCCGAGATTGTGCCACTGCACTCCAGCCTGGGTGACAGAGCGAGACTCCGTCTCAAAAAAACAAAAACAAAACAAAAAAGACCCATCAGATCTCATGAGAACTCATTCACTATCATGAGAACAGCATGGGGGAACCACCCCATGATTCAATCACTTCTCATGACACACGAGGATTATGGGAACTACAGTTCAAGATGAGATTTGGGTGGGGACCTAGCTAAGCCATATAGGGTTAGGACTTAGACATATTTTTGGAAGACATAATTCAACTCACTACTCCAGTCTTCCCTAACTCGGCTATATATCAGACCCTCTTGGGGATCTTATAAAGGTTACATGTTATTATAATTTCTGTTCCAGAATCCCAGTAGGTTGCTCGGTGCCTGGTTCTGACGCTATCCCTCAGAGCCTGTGGAAGTTGCTGATGCCAGGATGCAGTTGCTCTCCTAAAGCAGAGTGGGAGATCCTGAGGAAGGGAGCCTCCTGCTTGTGCGTCTGCGGTAAGAACGGCTGCACAGACGCACGGGAGATATGAGGAAGGGAGCCTCCTGCTTGTGCGTCTGTGGTAAGAGCGGCTGCACAGACGCTCTGAAAGTCCTTATGCCTCTGTGTTGTTCCAAATAAACTCACTTATCCTGAGAGCCGCTCCCTTTGCTGCTCAGGATGGCACAATCTGGTGCCAGAAATAGGACCAGAAGGAAGATGGCCTTCAGAAGGAAGTGACAATTCTTGGAACTGCTGTGTAGTGCCCGCCTGAGGCCTCTGAGCTCTTCCTTTCTGCGGCCCACCTCTTCTGCCACGTGCATCTTCTCCCAGGCTGAGAGCCCTCCTTCCGGCAGAAGCTTGACTTCGCTCGGGATCTGCCTTGGACCAGGCCACCTTAATATAGGACCTTGCGTCCGTCCTGGGACCCTGTGAGGCCGGGTTGTCCTTTCTGGTCCTGGGGAGTGCTCTGGTTTGTTTGTTTCTGTGCGTCCATAAGTGATTAAGTGATTTGGCTTTTTTTACTTCTGCTCTCCCTGCTTGTTTCAAAACATCTTTAAAGAGCAAATATCACATACAGCGGTTATATGAATTTCTTTTTGCTCTCAAAAGTGCAGTAGGAGACAGAATGGGATTCTCAAAGTGTAAGGCACGCCCGGCTTTCGGGGGCTCAGCTGGTCGTACATTCAAACATTGTGGCCCTTTGTGCACATTTTAAGCCCATGGACAGATGACACCAAGGGTGATTTAGAATTCCAGTGGCCATTTGAGAATCATTCCAACTCCCCAGACTGGTTTCCTAGAACTATATTAGAAAATTGCAGCTATTGGGTTAAACAGTCTGAATGAGGCGCGTATTTTTAGTTGCCATCTTGAGGCTTCAAAGTGCATTCAGGACTTTAAAAAGGCCTCGTTGCAAAATACTGTCTCCACACCAGCCAAGGCACCTCCTTCCCAGAGCCCTTCCTTCCCCTTCCCACAGCACATCCTCCTCCTCCTTCTCTGGCTGACCTCCCCACCCCCTTTATTCAGAGCTCCCCAGCTTTTCTCCACAAACACCAATTCATCTTTTAACACATGGAACCTCTAGGGAAGTTCTAGATGAAGGAGATAAAGTAATTAAATATGCTATTCTGGCATATTGACAATTTAGTTAGAATCACTTGAAAAACAGCAGGCTTGCTTCTTTTTCAAAGCTACCCATGCTGATTGCAGACATAAAAAAATGTTTTCTCCCCACTATTCCTTAATGGGCTCTACCCTGAAGTTAGCAATCTAATCAAGAAACAAGCAAAGTTGAAAAGACTGTCTATCAAACTAAACACTTTCTGGCATTTAGCTGGCTATTTTGAAACTGTTTTGTAAAAACTCACGTCTATAAAGGAAAACAGCTTTTGGCTTCCAGAGGCAAAAACTATGAGAATAAATGAGTGAAGTAAGATGTAATTAGGATTCCCCTGCTGCCATCTCTGTGCTGGTAAGAGTTGTGTCCAGTTAAGAAAATTAATATCCTTCTTTAGATGGAAGGAAAAATAGAGCCCTTCCTCTGCTACTTCTTCATTGCTTTTAGCAGAAAAGAATATTTGTGTTAAAGAAGCATCATCTGGAATGGTCCTTCCTGACTCCTTCAATGGCCAGTTTTGATTAAGAAGGAATTAAAGCATAATTGTAGGTGAATGTAAATGACTTTAAAGTTCATCAACTTTTCAATGATAGTTGTTTTATAAACTGTGTCTACTTAAAATGAAGTCCAAACATATTTTGGGGGAAACTTGAAGCCTTAACGTGAACTTATAGATATTCATAAAATGAGTCATTTTCAAATAAGATAAAACCCACTGCTACAACTATAATTAAAACAAAACCAAAAAACACACTGATTTCAAAGCTGCCTGGAGGTTTTTTATTCTCACCAGCCCTAGCTGAAATGTAAACATCCAAGAAATTAACTTCTACACCCATCGGAGACCATAAATAGGGGGGAAGGAAGCAAGCAAGCAAGGAAGGAAGGAAGGAAGGAAGGAAAGGCAGCCTTCTTATCTTCAAGGATGAGAAGCTGAAGCAGACAGAACATTGTACAGACCTTGTTAGATAACTCGTATGTTTTAAGCCCCCTGGAATGATTTAGTGAATTGATAACGGCCTCTCTGGGGTCTTCATTTCCATACGGGGGCTCCCATGCTATGTAAAACCTGTATGATGCTTCTCTCCTGCTAGTCTATCTAGCGTCCAACTGGGACGCTAAAGGCTGGGATATCCCACTTTGTCCTCTCCCCGGAACCTGCAGGTGGGATTCCAGGACACCTGACACAGGGCAGAGGCAG